>NC_000005.10:92837079-93140110 GCF_000001405.40 Homo sapiens
CATCAGTAAAACTCTCTTAGCCTAATGTTGATGTTACTGCATTCCAGATAGGTTACATTTCTGTAATTGTAGCTTTACCACTTAATTTTTCCCCCTCAGGGTCATGTTCTAAATGTTATCTAGAAGAGCAGTCTTTGAATAATCTTTGGCATAGCGGTCAGGATCACGGACCGATGGTCTGAAGCCAATAATGCTAACTCTACCACTTACCAGGTGCATAACCTTGGGCACTTCATTTAACCTCTCCTTGCTTCAGTTTTCTCATATGTAAAATAGGAACAATAATGCCAGCCTCATAGCACTATTGAGAAGAGTAAATAAATTAATCTACATTAAGTGGTTAAATAGTGCCTGGAAAATAGTTTTGAGTTAACTATCAGCCTGGCACATAGTAAATGTTATATAAATGTTAGCTATTGCTGCTGCTAGAAGCTGTTGTGGTAAATTCCACATGCTATAGTATTACTTTAAAACACAGTACACTGATCTATCATCCCAGAAGAATTTATTCAAGTTTGCCAGATAAATGTCTAAATACACTTACTCATCAAACCAAACATGAATTTACCCTGTAAGATGAAGGGAAGCACAGTGAAAACATTTTTAACAGAAAATTGTTTAAATTTTAGTAACAATATAGAATGTAAATAGTTAATAAAAGCATTTGGCAGACTCTGATGTTGATCAAGTTCAGAAGTAATATGAGAACAAAATAGAATGATTATTTAATGGATTATTGATTCATCCAATAAGCAACTACCATATGCTTTGCCCTGTACAGAGGTTTGAAGGACACACACACACACAAAATACTAGTTTCCTGTATTTATGAAAGTTATAATCCACTAAAGAGAAGCTGGATAAATAAATATTTTAAATCATGGTACTAAGCACAATAATCAAGTCAAACATGAAATGATACAAAAATATACAGAAGCAAGTGATTTGTATATGGAGGGCACTTGGTGATGGTTTGAGGCAGGCTATACGAAGGCAAAAATTTATCTCTACCCTTAAGTTGGATTGTTGGTGCATAGGGAGGAAAAAACTAATGGTATCAATATTCTCTCTTGTTCTGTTACATAAACTTTTTTCAACTAAGCCCATGAACAAAATATAATAATAAGCATATAGGATTGACCCCAAAACACAAAATAGTCAGTCTTCAGATTTAGTAGGAAACATTAACTATATCAAAAAATATTAGTGCACTGTAAAAATGCAATACTGTAGTTAATATTTTGAATGCCTGGAAGAAAAAATGTCTCAAACCTTTACCTGTTAACCTTAGGCAGACCTTTAGGGGAGTTATATGAGAATGCCTCTCCTTGACTCTTGTATTCTCCCTGGGTTAATGTGAACTGTCAGAGCCCCCATGTGGTAATTAGTGTCATGGAAATCCACAGGTAGATACTCAGTAAGACAGAAAGAGAGATGGCTCCTGGGGATTGCTCCCACAGTTAACAGTTGATCATATAGCCTCTCACACCCTCCCCGGCCAAGTGCAAAGTTAGAAAGCAAAGGCAGTTTCTCAGTCTTCTTCAGTGTTATCTAGTCATGATGAATCAACCTTTTCTTCTTCTTTAAGTGAAAATCTATGTGGAAATAAATTCAAAAACTATAATACAACTTGGGTAATATTAAGTGAGTGTTTAGAATGTATAAATACCTTTTTGAAGTTTATTAATTCTGAGTAGAAACCAAAGACACAAATTAAGGTGTTTGATAAAGAATAAGTTTGTTAGTATAATTTCAAGAAATAAGCTATCAAGAGACATAAGCTTTTTGGTCATCAACAGGTTCTCCAGCTCTAACACCTCCGCAGCAAATATGAGCTTAGGAAGTTAGGGAAACAGTCCTGGGACTCACAGAAAATTTTGAGTACCGCTCTGTGGTAATTGGCTCACCCTTTTGCTAACATTGGAATAATAGCTCAAATTATCAATATCGTACTTGAAAAGTCGCTTGCTATAACCAGCTAGGAGACATAATGCAAAGAGACCTCACCCAAAAGAAAAAAATTAACAAGAAATGGGCAAGACCAAAATTTGGAAATCTATAAAACTATATATCTATTTAAAATAAAGACTTGACAGGAGTCCAAGACCAGCCTGGCCAACATGGTGAAACCCTGTCTCTATTTAAAATACAAAAACTAGCCATGCGAGGTGGTGGGCATCTATAATCCCAGCTACTGAGGAGGCTGAGGCAGAAGAATTGTTAGAACCCAGGAGGCAGAGGTTGCAGTGAGCTGAGATGGCGCGATTGCACTCCAGCCTGGGTGATAGGGCGAGACTCTGTCTCAAAAAATGAAACAAAATAAAATAAAAATAAAGTAGAATAAAGACTTCAGAAACTAGAGAACTTTATCATGTTCTGGCCACATTAGTGAAGGCATCAACACACTTTTTATCCCACTATCTAAAATGTCAGATGCAAAGGAATGTGTTTGTCAGAAACAAAAAAAGTCTTGTTTTCTTGTTTGCTTATTTATTTTCTGTCTTTGAATGCTAAAATAAGCTTTTGGAAGTAGGTCCTTTTCTTTTCAGCTTTATTCAGGTCTAGCACACCCATTGTAAGAATCCTTAAATGTAAAGAGTCCTTATAACCCAATACATAATATAAATTCTTGCACAGAAAAATAGGTAAAGACATTAAGACTCAAAAATAATAAATACAAATTGCTAACAAATAAAAAATTAAACATTAATGAATAGTCAAAAATATAAATGGAAAATACATCAGATAGCATTTTGTAAATAATTTAGTAAATATATATCAAAAAATTTAAGTTGTTTAAGCCCTTTGACCCAGTAATTATACTTCTCATGAAAGAATAAGAGATTCATACACACAAAAAAAATAGTATGTAGATCATTCTCAGTACAGAGTTTTCTCTACTACAAAAATGGAAAAATCACCTAAATATTCACCATTGGGCTAGTGAGTAAATAAGATAAGCTATATCCATATGAACTACTCATATGAGACATTAAAAATGGAATTTTCAAAGAAAAGTAAGTTGAGAAAATATAGAGAAAATTGATGACTAAAAACAAAACACAAAAGAATACATCACTGCTTATATAGTCCTATCATTATTCAGGTGTATACGTTTGTGAACATATTAAAAAAATTGTGAACCAATAGCAGTGGCTCTCACGGTCTTACAAATTTTGTTTCCCTTAGTATGCTTTTCTTTGCATGTTTTCTGCTCTACACTAAAAATTACATTACTTTTATGATTTTGAAATTCAACAAAGTGATTATTTTCATTGAATATTTGTTTATTTATAAAAAATAACCCAGAACATGCTGTGAAGACCACAGACACACTTTATAAAAGGAAATGTTGTCTGGTGTGCATATTCTGATGGTTTCATTGGAGGGAGTTTACTTTCCTGCATATTTCTACCAAGATTTAGGTTGAACCATGCAATTTTTTAATTTTCTATATTGTTGTCTTTCTTTTCTTCTTTTTTTCTTTTTTTGGCACATATGCTGCTTAGTTTATTTTTTTCTTAGGTTAAAATGAAAGTATTTTATTAATGTATTCTGCTACCATGGAACCAATCTCTTGCTTTAGAAAGAAATATGATTCATGAACATGAATGGTAACTGAATGTCCAGTTAGTCACATTAGAGTCCTTACATTTATTCACCAAAAAATGTAGATATTATGGTTGTTTTAGACCTTTCTGGATGTCAAAATATCTTTACCATCAAAATCCTGTTAATAACAAAAGATAATCTTTGAGCATTTAGAACACAAAAAAGGCTCAGAAGAATTTTTCTCAATGCCGTATAGACCTTTCATTATTATTGATACTAGTTGAACCTGGAAATTGTTTTAAATGCGGCTTCAATTAGCTAAGCCACACTTACATCAATAACAACATTTATGCATTCTTTCAGTTTTAACACCTCATAGGCACTTTCATTCACCAAATTATAAACTATCTCCTAAATTTAATGGTCAATGTTTATACTCATTTCCAACTTCAATTTTTATGGCAAAGTTATTGCCACATTCACTTAACTTCACACAGCCACACTTGAGTTACTGTGATTTTCCAAATCCATCCAGGGCAGCTACTGGGATTAATGCAAATATTTTCAGATATAAAATATCCCAATGCATAGAATCCAGTTTAAACTTGCTTATAATCACAAAGGTCTTGGGTTGTTGACTGAGTTTCGGACAATATATGTAAGATCATCTACTGAGTGGAAAATCTCAATTTTCATGCAATCTAGACTGTGCTATACAATCTTCAAAATAATGAATTTGAAGGCAACAATGTTTTTCTAGGCCATAGTGGGCTAACTCTCTTTTTCTTCCTGGCAGAGTCCTATGATTACTACCACAACCTGAGAATTGACTTGGACAGAATAATCTTTTCTGTCACAATTTTAGGTGTCTAAAGAAATAAGCTCCTATTCTTCAGATCCTTTTATTTTTCCCTTTATCTTCCAAAACAATAGCAAGGGCAAGTTTAGTAGCAAAACTTTTTCTCAAAATGCTGATGGCCCAAGCCACACCAAGTCTACATGTGGTAGGAGAAATCATCTCAAGGGGAAAGTATCTTAAACTGGTTCTTCAAGAAAGAAAAGCAAAAGGCAGTGATTAAAACTTTTTGGGAGATGCTAACCCTGATGTCATGTGAAGGTGAGAGAAAAGAAGTAAGACAAAGGAAAATGAAACTAGTTTGCTATGATGTTGTACCACGCTCGTCACTGTTTACCAATGAGCTTCAAAAAGACATGGTGACTTACCTAGTCTTGCATTATTTGGTACTCAGAACTTGTCTGTAACTTTTGCAAGAAAAAAGTAAGCATTTCGCAAGAAAAAAGAAAGAAAAAGGAAGAAGTTAATGTACCTTGACTGCTTTCGGTCCCCTGTTATGTACTGGTCAAGGTTCACTTCACATACAGCAAGTTCCTCACACTTCCAAGCTACATCTTCCAACCCTTGCATAGCCATACAGGAAGACGTGTGGTGAGGATTTTCATTCAAGTCAAAAAGTGAATGGGAGAACAACAGAGGCAGAATATTGATCAAGGAAAAAAAAGGAACATGTGGGAATCTGAAAAGTGATCTGAGCTTTGTGTCTCCATACAAAGACAACGCTTTTCTATGCAGTTTTCTCACATGCAATGAGCTGCAACTTTTCATGTTCAAGTACTTGAATTCCAAAACACTCTTCTTCATGATAGGCATATTAGAAAGGCAGGGATTTAAGATTTGTAGGGAATGAAATACGATGACTGTCTAAAGAACATAATCAACTATCTTAATATGTAAAATCTTATATATAAAATAATATATCAGTAAAAAAACATTTGTTTTTGACTAGAAAAGATTCAAAAGTATTCAAAAACACTTTTTAAGAAACTACAGCAAATCTATGTTTTTTTGGTGAGATTGCTCACTCATCTAAAGTTGTATCATTATATAAAAGTATAGTTTTAAAATAAGGCTTGGAATTAGTGCGATAAAATATATTGAATTACGGAATTTTAGGCGTGTTCTATTATGCTAGCATTATCAACATGGTAAGTCAAGAAAAATAATGTTGCTTGTTGACTCACCAAAATAAATCACATCATATTTTGTGGCTTCTAATTATAAGAACAATACAATGTTAATTTAATTTGAAAAATTTAGAAAAGTAAAATGAAGTTATTAAATCACCCATTCACACTCCAACCATCAATTTTAATGCTTGTTAATATTTTAATGTTTCAATCTTTTTATCTAAGTATATATATATTTCATATGGCCAGGAATACTTTAAATTGATATTACAGAAAATATGTAATTTTGCGTCTTACTTTGTCACTTAACTTTTTTATCATATGACCATATATAATCTCCAAAAATAACAATTTAAATAGTTATGTAGCATCTCCCCAATAACAGATATTCTGTAACATATGTAACCATTCTCTTATTAAATACAAGTCATTTATATATATTTATTATTAGAAATAAAATTACAATGCATCCTATTGTCTGAATTTTCATTAGTTTTCTAGGGAGCGGTTTATAGAAAGAAAAATAAAAGGCCAAAGAATCCGAGTTTCTGGGGAATTGTTAATGTACATTACCATTTTTCCCCCAGAAAGTTTGTTCCCATTTACATTCTTGTAAGCAGTATATAGAAATGCCTCAACAAAAATGTTAGACAGATTCCCCAGATTTTAATATTATGTTTAGATAAAAGTCCATTCAACCAAAAATCAACTAACTGCAAATTTCTATGAAAATTTACATTTCTCTCTAGCTCACTGAAATCATGAGATAAAGAGAAGGAATAAACACTCTCCATTAGTGAATGAATTCTCCCTTAGTGAATTCTCCACTCTCTCATAAGGAGCTTTGCAGGTTTTGAGAAGCTTCCTGCAGTTGGCTGCCATCGACTCCTCCTCCAAGGACCTCTGTTAGTGTCAATTCAGCCTCTGCATTGTGCCTTGCCCCACAGGTGGTTCTGTGAAATGGTCCAATACCTCAAGAGGGAAAGGCTCCCTTTGTTCCCATTGGCCCTTGTCACCGGATGGAGTTGTAGCTTACTTTCTATTCTGCCCTTTCTCTAGTGCTGTGCTGCCTTCTGAATTCTCCTACAAAAAGCAGTGGCCAGGTCGTATGGTCCTTACATTCCAGGAAATTGTAAAGCTCTTCAAACTCTTCAAATTATAAAACTCTTCTCTTGAAGACAACCCCTTTTCTTGGCAAAGAGGTAAGAGAAAATACCATAAAGAGGAGGGGTGGGATTAGAGGAGTAAATGGACCTTACAACTTCTCTTTTGTAACCTAGAGATTAACAACAGGCTAAAGCTTGCAGATCCAGTTTCACAATGTTTTTTTGCACATGCTGTAGAGGTGATGCAGCAGCTTCCTGATGTCCAGGGTTTTGGTGTATATTAAATTGAGACTTCTGCTTAATCTCCAAGACAACAGGAAGGGTAACATTTAGCATAATCTTAAACACCTACATAGTAGTTATTTATGTATGCACGATACCCATATACATCTATACATTTACATACAAGAGCACTCAGAGTTTATTATATCTATTTATCATATTATAGAGATAGATACATTTGGAGGAGAGGAAGAGCCCAGGACAGGGAAAAGTTAACTAATTTCATACAATATTTAAAGCCTAGGATATGAATTGGTGCAGTATTAAATCTTCAACTGGTGTTAACTTAATTATGTCTTTTACATACATTAATTGTAAGATTTTGAAAGTTTATTCCTAGCATCTCTATCTGTTGCTACACTCTCACTTCTCATATAGGACCTAACTGAATGTGTTGAGATACCCATGAATCTGCTCCTCTGATCACAGTTCTGATGACATGCAAAAACTACCTTGTAAGTATATTTCTTTAGGTAGTGAAACTATTGAGAAAAACTGAAGAAGCATCTTGTACTAAAATTACCTTCAAATTATGGGTAACTCCAGTTCAAATATCTAGTTTTTTAAAATCCAGGGATCAAGAGAAGCATCTCCATGAGGGCCTAATGCCTATAAGAAAATATCAGAGCGGGGACATTCTGAAGGTTTGTATCTGACCTATCTTTGGTTTTAATCACTGAAGTTCTCGACGTTTTAATAAGTTGAAGGTGCTGGGTCACAGTCTAACTTAATAAGGCCCGCCACAGAGAGTTGGTCACCTCTGATTGCTCCCATAAGTCTTAGCACATCTGGTACACTGTCCTTGGTTGAGAAATGTTTTCCATAACTTTTCTCTTGTTCACTACCCTGCATATAAATTGTTTTTATTAACCTGAGAATGATACAGCACTGTATATTTGTGTGAGCTTTTGCCATTTTCAGCTTTATCCTATGGAAAGAGAGTTGATTGTTTCCTCCAAAATGGAATTAAACACTGTTTATCACCAATGTCTTCTCTTCTATTTTTCTACCCTTATTTAATATGGGTCAAACTAACCTTCAGTCTGACATGAGATTAAAGAACTAAACATTGTAACAAGACTCTTTGAGACAATTTACAATATGCCATACTTGCGGGAAGAAAAGAACAGAATAAAAACTATAGATCATTTTAAAAGAATTTTACACAAGACAACATATCCAGATGTAAATATCTAGGGTATTCAATTGTATATGGAAATGTATATAGTTGGATGATTGGCACATTCTTTTGTCCAAATGATAAACAAATTGATAGATAATCTCTGCTTTATTTTAATATATATTACAAATCTAATGAAAGTCATACTTCTGCTCTCTTTGCAATTTCCCATATGGGTAATAGTAGCATAGAAGTTTATCCAGATGGATGAAACTACGGTTTTATAGTACAGTGTTCCATCTGTATCCCCCAGCTTAACCTTAGTCATGGAGAATGCATCTCAGAGCCATTATACTGAAATAAAGAAAATTGTGTCTTTATAAAAAAAAGTGAGCCAAAAAGTAATATGACTTTATTTTTATTAAGATAATTCTGCAAGTGGAAGTAGTTTATGCTGGAATTCATCTTGTTTCCATGAGAGCCAAAATATTTGCATACCGGAGTCATCTGCCATCCCATCACTGACACATCTTTTGAACAAAAACAATGTTTGAACTCTTCTCTGATTTAATGCCGTCTAACCTGAATTCATGCACAAATAAAATATTGTTTACACAGTATTACATCAAAAATGTTAAAAAGAAAGAGGGGGCAGCTAGTGCTGTGAAAAAGATAGCTAGTCATTCTATTAGACATAAGATAAGACTAGTTCAGATCACAATCAGGTCAGTCTCATGATAGAATAGTTAGAGGACCTCCCACATCAGACTGATAGCAGTTTTGGAAAGAGCAAAAGCAATGTTTTAGATGTGCTACTTTTAATTTGCATACTGAAATGTTGAATAAAAAGCTGTCCAATTTTTTTTCTGTCATACTATATGTCACTAATATAAATTTCTGTATGAAACAATGGTTTTGTCATGTCGCTTCAATCTTAGCAAGACTAAACTATTACTCTTGGGTGTTCTTAAGCCCCTCAATCACCTAACAGCTCCACAGTTTTTTGTTTTGCTTTGTGTTGCTGTTTTGACTACTCAGTTGCTCTTTCAGAATTTCCTTCAACTTCACCTCATACAACTCATTTGTAAAGGAAGTTTCATGTGACTCCAACTTAAGATGCTTAGGTAAAGATTTTAAGCAGCTTTAAATACTCATGTGGATCCAGGTACCAGACACATCTACATGCAAATATCACCAAAATCTATCTGCTATTCTTCACATTTTCTCTCATTCCAGTCAAATGGAATGCCTTACAGACATCCCTAACCAGACATTATTAAAATACAGTGTTTTTTGTAGTTTTTACCCTGTACGCTAATGAAAAATATTATCTCCATTACACTATTTGCTGTCTAATCACTTAGCTATCTAATCTCTTGCACATTTAATGAATTTATTTTATGTTTTGTATAGCATTGCTCACATCTCACACCATAACTGTCTTTTGTCAGACTTTGAGGATACCCGTTTGGGATATTCACAGAATCCTATGGTTCTAATTTGCAATCGTAACTGCATAGTGGCTGAGCATGAAAGAGGGTTGGAGTCCTTCTATGCTATCTCTCACTGTCTCTCACATTTGTAGCTCCCTGCCCCCCACCCCCCCTGCAGAAAAAGAGAAAACCTCAAGGTGGCAAAGACAGAACTAGAGCACTTGTAACTAGATTTGAAGTTTACAGCTCTCACTGCAAAAGCTTGTACTTAGAATCCATAAGAACTGCTATAAATTAGTTATCAGCAAAAAAGCAGTCTTAAGAGTATCACTACTCTCCTCGCTCCTTAGGTCTTCCAGGGGATTCTGTGCCACGTAGATGTTTACACTCTGTTTCAAAACTGTCAGAATTCCCTGTCCTCATCCCTTACCCTGTTATCCCTCCTTCTTTTCTGGGGCACAGTTTCTTACATTGACTACATCTGTTGATCATGCTTTGCCTAGAAGCCATCCCATAAGCATTCTCTTCCAATCTCCTACAGCCATTTTAATTTCATCTCCCTCCATTTAGAAAGTTCCTAAAGATTTACTTTCCTTAACATCTCAAAATAGTTCATTTTCTCCATCAATGTTGATGGTATCCTGCTGATTATAAAAACAACAAACATTGTAGTACTGCCTCTGAGTCGGTTGCTCTGAATGGGCTCTGACCAGCATCATGTATATGCATCCTGACAGCACTTTATACATCACTTGTCCTTCAGCTCACTATGACCTATTGCATGGGTAGGGGTTTGCTACAACCAAATGACGAAGAATACAAGAATTTGGGGCTTTTCATATATGTTGGTGGTAGTCAAAAATGGACTGCCATTATATTACATTTCCACTCAGAATGTGTCTAAAGGACAGTGTTAAGGGAAAGCTTACACTGGCAGAGATAAAAGCAGTAGGCTTGGTCATTCACATAATAGAGAAAAGTGACCTGAGGTATGGTAAGATATGAACTCATGGATAGTGGGAAGTACCTTGGTCATAGGCAGAGAAGTAAAGTTGGAGAATTATAGATAAGGAAGGCTTGAGTATAGATAAAGATAGGCTTTGAGGATAGGTAGAAAGCCTGTAGCTCTTTGTGTACCCCATTAATCCTTACCTAAAAATGTCCACCATATTGAGTGCAGAGTAGACACTCAGTAACAGATGGATAGGATGACTTGTCCTGTGGATATCAGCCAGCTTGTTTTCTTGACTACTAAATGTGCTTGTGCAATGGAACCATGAACAGAATAGTCATGGTGGCAGGGCTGGAGGCTATGCATGACCTTCTCCTCACCAAAGCTATTCTAGTTATTGTCATTTCTTAATGTCTACGAGCAGTAGGAACTTAACCTGAACCTGTGGTAGAGCACCATTTCTTAAAGCGACCACACACTCGGTGACAGGTGGATTAAATTGAAACTCTGTTTCCTTCAGGCATAAGCAATTACTTCTTATTAGAATCTTAGAATCTAGGAGAGGAATTAGAGAAGAAAAGAAGGTGAGGGAAGTATTCTAGGCGGTAGTATCAATATGAGAGAAGGTAAGAAAATGCTCCCTTATTTCTAATTCTCCAACTTTACTTCTCTGCCTGTGACTGATACTCCAAACGTAAAAAAGCTCATGGTCTGTTTCAGCAACTGAAAATAGTTTGGATAAAAGTTCAGAGAGATGGTAAGAGATGAGGCTGAGAAGAGAAGCAAAAACCAGTTCAAGAAGCCTTAAAGAGTCCTTCAAACCACAAAGGAATTTTTGGGTCCCCTATCACACTGACAACCTGAAAGAGATAAATATCATTTTTCAGTATGCCTCTTTTTTTAAGCAACATTAAATTCTAAGATAAAGCATGAGATTTCTTCATCTGAAGGCGGATTTGTTTCAGGCCTTCAAGGCATAAACTTCTTTTTTGTGTGTCGCCTGCATACCCCCCTCCATAAAAGTGATATTAGAGACCTGACAAATGTACTAAACACATGAGGCTTTTATCCTCAGTGGCCTCATATATTTCATAGTTGGAGGGTATGTTAAAGGACATCTATTTCAAGTTTCTTCTTGATATTTCTATTTTTAATCTTAAAAATTTACTCCATTTCCTGTAAGAAATATAAAAACAAAATAATGAAAAATAAGGATCAAATTTAAACCTTCATATAAATTGAGAGTCTGTCAAAACTTTTAAGTTATAAGCATGTAAAATTCAGGAAATGGAAACCAAAATGTCTTCAGTGGCCAGATAAATAAAGAAAATTAATAAAATGGAACTAGTGGACAGTGATAGGGTGATATAAAAATTTAATGAATCAGATTGAATGTGCTTCTTTTAAAGACAATCAAATTCTTTTTTTAAATGAGATACATGTCTGTGAACTTATTTTTGGATTCTAATACATGGTACCAAGCTGTATAATAGTTGGTGGTTACTGAAATTAGATGATGACCAAAATTACTGGACAATCTACTAAAATGTTCAAATTTCTGTGATCTGGATCTGCCTCTGGAATTCTTGATTGTGTGTGATTTTGTTTTATTTGGTTCAGTTTTACAGTTTATCTCTTTGGTCAGAGGAATCACGGACTTAGGTGCATTTATTCAGCAAATAGCTTATTTTAATATTTGTCAGGAAGTGTTCTGAGTGCTAGAAATACAGTAGTGAAAAAGCTTGTTTTCCTAATCTCATGATGTTTATATTCTAAGCAACATCGTAAAAATCATTATGTTTCTATTCTTAATGGCAACCTGGTCAACTTAGTTCTGTTCACCATATAGCCAAGGATGAATTATATCAGGAAAACCTACAAATTCATTATTGATTAAAACAAAACCATCAAATCAGATTCTTCCAATCTTTCATTAGTTTTGAAGTAGTAATTCTACTGGATAGTTTATTTATACAAGTCAGTTCTGTAAATCCAGTCTTATAAAATTACGAGGATAAAATAGCTTGCATAAGTTTATTCAATTAATAGTAAATTATTCATTGCATTTTCAATACCACTCAAAATAGGGTGGAAAAAACAAACTAAAATTAACTAAGAGATGAGATCACCCATTGTCTTTATTCTGTGAACTTGACATAAATATAATACATACTTTTCCTACAGCATCTCTGAGTGCTGGCCTTCTATAATGTTTTTCTTTCCAAAGAAGGGGTGCTCATAGGAGAGAGATTTAGAAACTAGAGTAAAAAATAAAAACAAATCATTTAAGACCAGGATTTCATGGTCTTTTTCCATGATACAACTTTCCCCAAAAAACTGGCAATTTTTCTTTTGAGTCATTGAACAGTTTCTTCCACTTCCACCCATCCCAGTCTTATCCCCTGGGTGGTCAGCATACTGTCTGCTTAAAAACAGCTGGGAAAGAAAACACCCTGAATAACTTCCATTTTGGTATAAAAATTACATCTCCCAAGAGACTTGAAGCATTGTAGTCCTGACTTGCTCACCTAGACCAACTGTTGTGGCTGCTCACCCCAAAGAACCCACCAATAAGGAAATTAGAAAAACCCTGGAATGTGTTTTGTGGCCAGGATAAACTTATCTAAAGGGCAAGAAAGAGACTGTCCATTTCATTTTTCAGGCTAATTCCTACCACATGCAAAGCCTATTCAACACTCAGACATAACCAAGATTTCTTTTTTTTTTTTTTTTTTACATTTTTGGCTGCACACAAATTTCAGGTGGACACTCCTTTATCCAAGGCTCTTGGTGGAAAACAGAAATAAAATGCTTTTCCTTTTGAAGTGGTTGATATAATATTCATGAAGATGGAACCATGCAGCATTAACTAGAATTATTCTCTTCTTAGATCTAGTTCTTTCTTCCCATGTATTTTGTTTGTTCAGACATTTTATTCAGTACCTAGTATGTGAAAGACACTAAGTAAAGTGCTTCATTTTTTTGTTTGATCTAGAAAAATAAAATCTTTCAATAGATGAGTCGTTCATAGAAATTACAGTATTATCATGCTTCTTCCAGGAGATTGTTACATTTTTATTTAGGGAAGAGAATTCATTGGAAAAATTCAAACGCATAATCTACATAAAATGGGATACTCTATAATCATATAATGGGAGAAAAAAAGCTCCAGGGTTCCCAGAGTTAATAACTCATCTTTTATAGGAACAGGGTTTTTTTTAGATTGCTAAAGCAAAATAATTTGTAATGACATTTCTTTCAAATCCTTTCTGTAAGCATGCGTCTGCTCCTTTGGGGATTTATTCGTATATACTGCCTATAGTGACCAAAAAGAAAAATATCTGCGTTCTCTCCAAAATACCTCCTATTTGCATTTTATCAAAAGCCTTACTTCGTTTAACCTCAGTTTCACATTAAGAGTCTTCAGATTTCTATTGAAAGGCAACAGGCTTACCAAATATAGGTACTAAGGGTTTTGGGTGACGGTAGGGGAAAATTTCAACATAACTTTGAACAGAATATTGGGCAGTGTCAAGCACAGTGTTGTGCTGGTGTGCTTGTCTTCCTTATTGAACTGTTTGCCAAGGAAATCCAATCCATGATAAATAGACAAATGTCTGAGATCACTGTGGCTCATTCTCTGATGAAACAGCTGCCTCCATGCTGTGTTTGTTGTTACAAGTTATTATAAATACTAATATTTTATAAGCTCTGGTACAGTTTAGAAATGAATCTCATAAACATAATTCACTATTTCCAAGTTTTCAGCAACACACAGCCTGAAATAATTCTACTCTTGGTCAGCCTGCAGATTTAGCTGTCAGCTCCAGAAGCTGTGATGAGCAGAGGAAATTTGGGATGTGCAAATTCTTAACCATTCTGTCTTTTAGAATGGCAGAAGAGGTTCAAGTTTACTTCACCAAATATAATACAATGACTTAAAACAACAGAATAGAAAAGAGTGCCTGTATTTAAAAAATATAAAAGGTATTACAGGATAAGTTAAGGGGACTAGAATAAAAAGATGGTTTAAACATACAACACACGCAGTGTTGATTATGAAGAAGGCACCATTATTATTTACTTTCTTTTCTAGCAGAAACAAAGTATGTTATGTAATATTGTATGTAAAGCATCACTTGATGCTATTCTGCTAAAACACTAAATAATTTTCTAGACTCACATTTTTTTCAAATTCTCATCTTACTTTTGAAAATCTTGGGATCTGACCTATATCTATAGTCTCTTTTTCACTTATACGTTTATTTCTATATTCACAGAACAAAGCCTCTCTTGCTCTTTTCCCATAACTAATTGCTCTTTCATAACTAATTCAAGTCTTCTTTGAAGGTGGTGACTTTTCTTCCCAGTAACCACTTAGGCTTGCTTTATCAATGAGGACCAATCCATATAGTATATCTCTCAGTGAGCTCATTTTCTAGAAGTGTGACAAACAATAAAGATGTTAACTCCCTTTTATATATATTGGAAATGGGCTTAGTTAATTGTATGCAATAACTTAATGGATATGCAGGCAAATGGAATAAAGACTGAAATAAAATCTACATCTTAAATCATGGTGACCAATAAAAACATATTGATTCATATGTGTCTATATCAGACACTATGTAAAAGTAATAAAGTAGGTGAAAATATTTTGTAAATTCCATGGCACTGTCCACACATTACTGTGATTGTTTTCCCTTTAAGACATCGCACTGAGAGTGAGTTAAATAAGATGCCAATTACCTATTGGAAACGTAGCCTTAATTAGAGTTGGGAACCCCCCCTCTTTGTATTAAAGGGCAATAATGATGGAAAGACCTGCTACATGTGGGATCTTTCTTTTCTTTATCCTAAGTCCGTGATGCTATTTGGGTAATAACTGATGAAAGGACTAGGGTGCCAACCAATTTGCAGTTAAGTGGCTAATTAAGACCCAAAGCAAAGCTGCCAGGAGGTTGGGTCTCTTAGCTTTAAAGTGACACATAAAAGCAATTACGATGGGGCTGGCTTTGCTAGGACATATTTAAATTTGGACAAAATTTGGGCCAGTTATTATTTTATGTTAATATATTCCCCTATAAGACTCCATCAGAGAGAAAGGGGAATTATTTAGGACATAAGAAATAATTAGAACATTACTTGAATTCTCTGAACTTCAGATATGAATAAAAAGCAAAACTGTAAAATTAATTTTATGTTTGCAGTTATAACAGGGTACTATATATATGTAATTAGATTTCCTAGTCTCAGAGGAAAAGGGGATATGTGCATGAAGCACATTATTATTCAAGAGGAGAAAATCTCTTAATTCTTGGGTGTGTTGTCACCTGTCTGTCATATTGCATGAGTGTGACACCTAGCCCAGAATGGCAAGATTTTTAGAATTGTTAGATTTAAACTTGGGACACTCAGGTATTACATTTAAATATAGCTGCTCTAATAGCACAGGGGGGAACAACAGATTCTTTCTGGGTTTAAAAAGGTTTGAAGTTGGTGAGGAAAAGTAGAGAGAATTTGAGAAGATGAAAATTATAACACAAATTATCCATGTATAAGGGAATGATGGTGGGAGAGTAGATGACTTTTAAAATCATAGCTCCAGGAGAATCTTAGAGTTGTGGGGAACCACAGTCCGTTTAAACCTTGCTCTGTTGATTTATGATGTCACCATTGAACCCCTTGATGGCATTAAATCCTTGTAATTTGCAGTTGCCTAGCATATTTTCCACACACAATTCAATAACTCATTGTGTAGCTACTTCACACACACATATAAACACACACATTAGTGTGAATATGTATGTGCTGAATATGTAGTCAGTGGAAACCATGATTTTGTTGTAATAATAAGTTAGGTTAATAAAATACACGAAATCATGGGCTGGATGTGTAGTCACTGTATCACCAGCTTTGTCATCAGGCATCCTAAGGGGACAGTACTCCATGTTATTATAAACAGATTTTACCTAAATTTTGTGTATATTCTTTTTAAACATTGAAGAAGCAAAATTGTAGGGTCAGCCAAAAGTCATTATTGCAGGAAATAAATGAGATTGCACAGAGATAAATAAGGAAATATATTCAATTCACCTAAACATTACAGTAATAGGATTAGAAAATAACAGAGTTATAAATACTAACCCTTCAGGGATACATTCTTCTGCCCTAAGAGGTATGTGGATGGATCTCCTCACTGTCCAGGGAATCTCTGTTCTCTTCCAAAGAGCCTGGGAATGGCCAGTAATTTTGACTCCATAAAGCCGGGAAAGAGAAGGTTTTGGAACCTTTTCTTTAAGTCTATAATACAACTAGTCATTAGCATTTCTGTGGGGGTGAGAGGTGGTGTTTCGACATCTCTTATGCTAGCTTTTAAACTGACTTCTGTAATTATTCTCCAACGGAAACATGAGTGCCAGCGACTTTCTGGGGAGTTATTTTTATTTCTATTTGAATATTTTAGCTACAATGCTGGATATGCACTGCTGGATCTCTGAGAATGCTGTTCTAAAATGCTATATTTATAAAATGACCAAAGAGCACATGCTGCCTGGATTAAATTTATCCCAAGATGAGAGGTTTTATCTCTAATCATCTGCTTATTGACTAATCTGGGTGCATCTTGGGCAGGTTTGATGGTTGAGATGTAACAGGCTAACGTGATCCAGATCCTAAAGGAGTATTCCTTTGTCTTTGTCTTTGTCTTCCTGAAACATGGAGAAAATGAATCTGGCTGCTCTGAATTCATCATGACTTAGAGTAGCATCCTCATTGAATGAGACTGCCAGTTTGAGATGAAAAAAGTGGGGTGCTCTTTTTAAAGCAGCACAATATATGAGATCACAGAATTACATAGACTCTCAGAAAGATATTTTTAAAAGAAGTAGGATAGCTTTTCCACAATGTGTTTAAAATCCACATTGAGTATAATTCTGAAGAATTATACTTAATGTTCCAGCAACATTGTATCCTCATCTATACTGTGGCCCAGGTCACATGACAGTGTTATTATTTTCATCAGTCTCCTATACCTAGACTGTGAGCTCCTTGAAAAAAAGGAACCTTTAATTGCAACGTTTTTATTCCCATCAATATTCTAAACAACATCAGGCACATTGTAAGCAATCACTAAATATAGCTTAAGAAAGATTGAATGCTATGCTGTGTTTAAGACACTTATTAGTGAGACAGATTAGATAGATAGACAGTAACATGATAGATAGATAGATAGATAGATAGATAGATAGATAGATAGATAGACAGACAGACAGACAGATAGTTAGATAGATATCCCTGTTACTTGTAGTAAATTCTACCATGGGACTGCCTTTCTTTGCACTGGTGTTTACTTATAAGGTCTAAATTAAGACTAGATCTTGTGTCTTGCAGATCTGCGTTTTATGAAGTCAGGAAATTAGTAAGAAAGTTCCCCATGATAGACTTAATATCCCAACCTTTCTCTTTGGAAGATTTTAATGCCAGCAAATAAAAATTAAAGAATTTTTTAATTTTAAGAATCTAGAAATTCCTGACAAGTTCTGGAGTGAGTATAGAATCATTTGCCTTTCTACTATATATATATTAGGGCCCATTAAAAATTGTAAGCAGCTTTACTGCTGGCTACATTTTCTTCTAGGGTTATTTTCTTTTCTGTTGAGTAATTCCTTAATGCCCAGGGAGTTAAACATTCTGATGGAAAGGAAGTACTTATCATTTTCTGAGATTTAAAGCTTTGCTGCAATGTTTTTCTTGATCTTGTAATTTTAAAGTGCTACCTGTGTAGTTAAATGTCTCTCTCTTGATAAATTTATTTCAGTGATATTTCTAAGGTTACACATGTTTGCAAACAGATGTTGCATAAGAAGACTCTAACTCTAAAGCACTTTCCACTTCATTTTGCTATGTTATCTTAATATATTTTTAGAAGCTATCTGAACTTTTGGACTTTTCTAATTCTCATTGCAATACAAAATCATATAGTATCTAAAGAAAAAGAGAGAATCAAAGATATGTCAAGCTTGGTTTGGTTTGGTTGGTTTGGTTTGGTTTGGTTTACCCCTTGGGATGACATGAGCATCATCTCCAATATCCAATCAACATTTTCAGAGGCACATGAGAATGTCCACCAAAAAGTGAGATTATTTTAAAACATTTTATGGCTGCTTTTAATATTTCTTCACTAATGAAAACATGTATCACAGCTATTACTGAATATAGAAAAAAGTATTTTCTTGATTATTAAATGGTGATATCGTTCAATTATAAAATCTTCTCTTGAGATTAGTACACAATCAGAGATAACTTAAAAGTTCTAAATAGCCATTTTTTTCTTCTCTTGCTTTTGTAAAAAAATCATAGACATGATCTTTGAATCTTCATTAATTCTACTCATCCAACGTCTTATTAGCCTTGCTCCAGATGAGAGCAACCTTTGGAAATGGTCTGCTGTTCTTCAATATCATAGTGATGTATTACCTAACAGCTAACACGTAGTTTCAGCAGTTTGGTATTTTAAAGAAAGTTGCCAAAACGGATACAGCATACAGAGACTTGAGTGTGTGTGTGTGCATGTATATGTAATCCTAAAATGAAGAGGCATCTATTCTGGTAATAGCTGTGTACTTGAACCCATCTACAGTTTGATTGTACATCAGTTATGATGTGTCTCTTTCTAACAGGAAGGATACAGATCTTGATGAATGGCTAAAAGGTAAGATCATTCTTAAAGGTGTGAGTGATTAATAATGGCCATGCATAGATTTTTTTCTAAGAGTGTAAATAAAATATATCATTCACATGAAGGGCAGGAGTTTGGCAGGATGATTCATAGTGCATTTGAAGGCATAAAAAGTCAAAGCTAGGGTCTCTTCTAAGCATGTAAAAGAGGAAGCCAGTTTCACCATTTAAAATATATGAGTGGATGTTGGTATAGAAATCACATGCCTTATGAGATACTGAAGACTGATTTAATTTTTTAAATTGTCACCAATTAAACAAAATAAAAATTTTCTCTTTTAGCAGCTAAAAAATGATAGTAGTACAGGGATAAGAGATAAAAGATGAGGGTGGCTCTTCCATGCTATAGCACTTGGGCCATATACTTCAATCCAACCAAGATTTGCTATATAGCTTTTAGATTAGTGGTTACTGTGGAAAGAAAACACTTAAGCTGCAGTATTAGCATAAAGCTTCACTCTAATGTGGTTAGCATTCATACCAAAGTACGGTGGAGCCCTACCTATAAAGGTGTTAACTAACACAACAAAAACCAGAAAGCTGTTCTTTGAAGAAAAAAGAATTACTTCCAGTGGTGATATCTAAGTACAGTAACATCAGTGTACATGATTGATCTTTGTTTATTCTCTGCCAGCAGCCTAAAGCTCATGATATTTCAAAATGTATAAGAACAAGCTTCATGATGATACAATACTACACATCATGCTCCTCCTATGGCCCAGTACTGCAGAGATTGTACAATGCCACAGAAGGAAAAGGTCTGGACCCTGGGGCTGAGCTGTGACTCAGCTTATCTCCTTTAAGTCACAAGTGAATGGAGAAGCATATTTGTGCCTTTCTAGCATGAAGTGCAAATAACTATCATTATAAACTGTTAAAAACAAAATAATTTTTTTAAAGAGGAGGATCTCTCTCTGTCACCCGGCTTGGAGTGCAATGAAGTGACCACAGCTCACTACAGCCTTGAAATCCTGGACTCCAGAGATCCTCCCCACCTCAATTTCAGTAGCTGAGATTACAGATGTGAGACATCACAGCCATCTATCTTTTTTTTTTTCTTTTTCCTTTTCTGTGGAGATGAGGTCTCACTATGTTGCCTAAGCAGGTCTTGGAGTCCTGGTCTCAAGCCATCCTTCTACCTCAGCTCCCAAAGTGCTGGGATTACAGGTGTGAGCCACCATGCCTGGCCTAAAAAGAAATGTTGATGGCTGTCTAGGATGCTGCGTCCACTAGACACAAAAACAAGAGTCATCATTTGTACTCCTTTAAGAATGAAGACTTAAAAGTCACTGATTTTTTAATTTATTGACTTAATGGCCTATAAAAGATTTCACTAATGTTATTTTCTTCATTTAATTTCTCTCCCTGTGAGAACATGGGGCATATAGCCTGGGTATAGTAGAAGGCACAGTGACATTCTCTCTCTGTAGTTATCACAGCCTTCTCCCTGTGTTCTTTGACTGCCAATGTTCCCTGCAAGTCTGTCTCGTATAAACAATCCAAGCATGAGCCTTATTGATGGACAAAGATATGACAAATACACTGACACAATCAGAAACACGACTTTTGAATGTGAAGGGCAAAAATTTTAAAATACCAAATGACCACGTCAGAGGTGAGACTTCACTATATCGAGGTCTTCATAGTATTTTGGAAACATAACCCCCTTTGAGAACATCTAAGATGTCAATATGCTATACCGACTTAAATACAGCAGACTCTGCCCCTCCCCCTGTTTCTCATTATTTCACTCTCAAAATTCACATTTTGAGGATCATTCTGCTTCTGGATGAGGGAGTACAGGTATGTGTGTACATCCTAGGCATGGATCTTATGACTATCTTCAGCTTTCTGTGGAGGTAGGTTTAAAATTAGTTCAGTTCTATTATGTAATAAGTTTCAGGATTTGGGAATCTTTGGGTAAATGTGGAACATGTTGCTTATAACACATATTCAAACACAGAATTCAAAGGTGTGTCTCCAGAATAGAAATGTTTAAATTATTGTCTGTATCTGGTAAGCACTCTCATGAGACACTTCCATGTGTTGTACCATAAGTTCTGTCTCCAAGTTATAGTCTCTGGGTAAGTAAAAAGGAAAGCATCAAATGGATCAGATAAATCAGAACTAGGGAGGTGGTGGTTAGGAAGGTAGCTAATAGTAGATGTATCAAAATGTTACAATATATTTTCTTCCTCTAGAGTCCCTTTTTAGTAGCTAATCATGGTGATGGGAGACTGTAGTACCATCCACTTGGGAGGCTGAGGGGGGAAGATTGCTTGAGCCCAAGAGGTCAAGGCTGCGGTGAGCCATGATTGAGCCACTGAACTCCAGCTTGGGCAATCTTGTTTCCAAAAAAAATCATTTTTAGAATATATCTATTTGCAGATTTAATACAGACACTTTATATATTCTTTCATCAAATTTTAAGGAGAATGCACTAATCCGAAAGACAAATGTTATTTCTATATAATGTGAGTCATATATAAGTAATTGCATTATGGTCTGTGGGAAAATGAAATATACTAATTAGTCATTAATCAATTTAGTAAATACCTAAAACTTTTTCAGAAAATTTGGCTTTTTTCTATGGCCTTTTCAGAAAATGAGAGTGAGCAAGTCATTTCCTTCTTTGTCTCTTCCATCTGCTGTCCTGCCATGGTAGTGAGTGAGTCTGTATGATTGTCTTATTCATCCCGTGTGGCTTTGTTGATTAGGGATTTTGCTAATTCTCCAGATATCATCTATTTGGGTCCTTCCCAAGCTTCTCTTTTTCCTGTCAAGATGACAACAAGATGGTGTATATATTTGCAGATGAGAAGAATCAAATAATTGAAGTTATAAGACACACAGCCATACTTACCTTGGATTTCCCTAAAGGTGATATTCACTAAAGTCTCTGATTTCATACTTTATGTGGGGGACACAGGAATTCTTCCATGTGTTAATATTTTGCTTTTTATCTTGCTCTGACCATCACCACCTGTGTCCTTCTGCCTAATTTCTCAACTCCTCAGGATCTGGAAAGACTCCA
This sequence comes from Homo sapiens, assembly GCF_000001405.40. Taxonomy (NCBI): domain Eukaryota; kingdom Metazoa; phylum Chordata; class Mammalia; order Primates; family Hominidae; genus Homo; species Homo sapiens. The sequence goes on from NC_000005.10 coordinate 92,859,284, forward strand.
TATTTACCTGGGCAAAAGACTTTCTGTGCTGAGGTTTCTGACTATGGAGTCTCTAACAGTCTCCAATTTAGAACGGCTGTTACTCCCTTGTTTTGTTTTCTTTTACTTTTACATTCTTCTTTCATCACTATGGTACCATTTGTAGACTAGCTCTCATTTAAGAGGCAGCCAGCTCCATAACTTAGCAAATCAATGAGTCTCTCACTGAATTACCAGTATGGAGATAATCCTGTAAAATAGTGAGATAAGGAATCAATCTCTTTCTACTAGAATGTGCTCAGGTTTAGTCATTGATGCAAAATACTGTGCAAAAGTGGGAAACAATTATCTCTTAGAATTGGAATTAGCACTTCCTTTCAGAATGTAGTCTTACTTCAATTTTAATTGTTTTAACCATGTTTTGTTTGATTCCTTTGACTCAAAACACACAGACCAAATAGATGTTTCAGTGAGAAGAGTGTTTACAGAACAATTCAGGTAAGGTATTCCCAGATTGACTGGATGCAATTTTAATGACACAATCATCCTCAAGTGTGCACCAACTCCTAGTGCATTCCAGTGACTTATTTATCAACATCACAGAACACAAGATTTTTTTCCTCTTACTCTCAATATTTTATAGTAACTCTTTGGAATCACTAAAAAAATTTTTAAAAGAGTAACACTTCAATAAGAAATATAATAACATGACAGGAATATATTCTAATGTTACTAAATTCTGCTCCCATGAAATGTAGTGCTTTCTACTTCCAAATCACAAGCCTCCTTTGGTGCCATCATGTTCCAATATACATTTCAGAAAGTTTCAAAGAACTCATAAGATATTAAAATTCCAGAAAAATTATTTGTTGAAGACCAAATGTAAATAGATAACATGTTCAGCATCTGAATATTGCAGAATACGTCTCCAAAATGGCCCATATGTTCTTCTAGAAAAAGCAGCAGTCCTGACAGTAAACCATGAAATATTCTGGAGGCAATGGCAGAGTGCCAGTGTCTTAAGGGACAGCATTTTCCACTTTAAATAACAGACAAAATAAAGCTTTAAAATGTTCTTGATGATGTAGGATTTAGTAAACCCTTCAGAGGGATGCAAGGAAAACCTTTTCTTCTTAAGATTGATGCTGGGAAGAAACAGACAAAAAGTAAGAATCGCTCTGCCAAGCAGCATAAAGAATCAATTGGTCTCTTTCTGAAATTTAGGAAATTCAATGAATCGATAGACTGTTAGGAACTGGGCCACACAGACTGAAAGTGATTCCTTGTAAGTACTAGATACCAGAGATAACACAAAGCTCTTAAGAAAGTGCTGAGCACAAGCATGGATTTAAAAAGACTGAATTGTGTACGAGCAGGAAAGGAAAACAGCTTATTATTTAGTAGGCATCTGTAAATGGAGACATTTCTGCAAAGGTAAACCAATGCTTAATTGAAAGATAAGCGATTTGCAGGTAAATATCAAACTTTATTTTTTTCATTTCTCATTTTATTTTTGTTACTTCTGCTTCACTTATTCTGTCTCTAAAAATGGCAAAATCTCTGTCATAAAATAATTTGGACTTAATTAACATTCTCCAAGGCAGGCAAGCTGGAAGTATAATAATTCTTTTGAAAGCAAATACCCTTTGATGATTACAAGAATCAAGTATGATCAGAGAATTTTTTTCTTGGCCATTTTACAAGAGCCTATCCATCTTTATGTGGCCTATGACACAAAAATTAACATGCGAAAAATGGTCATTTTAAAACGATAAATAATTAGTGGGGCAGCTGGGTGCCTAAAAAATTTCTTTACGTTATGATAGAAGATACGTTAGACTGAACCACTTATTTCAGGCACAATTTTATTTTGTCATTTACTTTCCCATTAAAATGTGAAGTTTATAAGCTGAGATCACAAATAATTTCTTAGGCTTTCTTCCAAATAAGAAAAGTAAAACAGAAAAGGTAAAAGGAAAGACGTTTTTAATTTAATAAGAAATTTAAATATTAATTATTATAACAAATTAATTTCAAATTTAGAGCTATTACTAAGTTATTAGTTTATTGACATTACATTATCACCATATTCATTCACTAACTATCAGGCCAGGATTCTAAAACATGCAGAAAGCATATAGGTTTGAATTCACTGGATGATAATATCAAAGATTATCGTTTCTTCTTGTGGTGGAATATTAATTATATCTAAATAATTTTGGGGAAAGGACTTTCTTAATAGTATTTAAGATAGGTAAAATTTTACATTTGCAGTAAGGTAAAGTATTAAAGTAACAATAGTGATAATTACTCAAAGAGCAATTGCAACTTTTATAGTACACTGGCACAGAAACAAGAGCAATGCTGTATATTCCACTAATTCTAAGCAATTTAAAATTGTCTAAATATGGAGCATGAAGCATGGCACTCAGTGCGTGAACAATGACCATCCTGAGTGCCTGAATTACGTCACTACCTTGTGGTTATTTATGCATATATGTTTGTGGGATTGGCCTATCTTGGCAACAGTAGCTCCTTTCAAAAACAGCCTTTACTAGCCAAAGGACATTGATATAGATATTCTAGTTATCCAATAATTCCCTTCAAGTTTAGAAATTATTCTAAATATTTCAAAAATGTATGAAAAAATATTATAATCTAGGCTCATAGACCTTGTCTAGGTGGCACTGCTGGCTTCTGTAGGTCTTAGCTCCCAGAAAGCACCTTAAAAATTTTGGTTGAAGGCATTCCAAAGGGCAGAGCTCTGTAAGATGCAGGCCAGGAGCAAGGGCTTTGCTTGCTAGTACTGTTTTCCTTTGAAGTTTCTAAAAAGCCCTTAGAGGCAAACTCTGTCTTCCTGTAGCAACAGCACATGCCCCTTTCCATATTATGAGTAATCGTATCTTCAAATGTGTTGCCAGAGAGTGGACTACCCAATAATGTTAGAGTAGCCTTGCAGAAAGAGATCCATGTCTTATATTTCTGCTAGGTTGTATAAAACCTGGCCCAGGGCTAGTAATACAAAAGTCAACAAATACTTCTTACTTGATAATAGCTATTTACCAAATATAGTTAACAAGTAAACTGTAGCAGTGTTACACAACAAAAATCAAGAGTCACTGACACTGTAAAAGTAATTGCTGCTGAGAAAATAAATTTATAGTAAGAGCAGTCATTTTTCATTATAAATATTTCAGCCTACAGAAAATAGTACCATATGCCAATTCTTTGGCTGTAGTGAAAGTACTGGGTGAATTTTACAATTCCTAAATTTATCAACCAAATTAAGTCCTCTATATTGTTTCTTTTACCTTTCCCTGTTTTTCTTATTAGGGACATACATAATCCTTCTCCTCTCCTTTTACTAGAGCAAATTCAATATTTCATTTTACATTGAATTTCTTTTTTTGTTCTTTTTTTTCTTTTTCTTTTTCTTTTTTTTTTTTTGTTTGAGACAGAGTCTCGCTCTGTTGCCCAGACTGGAGTGCAGTGGCGCGATCTCAGCTCGCTGCAAGCTCCGTCTCCTGGGTTCACGCCATTCTCCTGCCTCAGCCTCCTGAGTAGCTGGGACTAGAGGCACCCGCCACCATTTCTAGTAGAGACGGAGTTTCACTGTGTTAGCCAGGGTGGTCTCGATCTCCTGACCTCGTGATCCTCCCACCTCGGCCTCCCAAAGTGCTGGGATTACAGGTGTGAGCCACCGCGCCCGGCTACGTTGAATTTCATATCATCTTTCCCTATGACTAACACCACTCCACAGTGATGTATTATTTAGATTTGAGGTAGCACTTTTTAAAAATGGTCTATACCACATGATTCACATTGGTGTATAAATGTGCTTAAGTATGTGTGTGTATATATGTGTATTGTATATTATCTGTAACTAATATATATGCATGTGCCAACCCTACAAGAAAAGCATATATTTTATGTTAATGAACATATTTTATAAAGCGCACATAACACTTTTTCAGACAGAGGAGTAACTAAGAAAAGTCTTCTACATTTGCTTAAAGTTTGGTCCCACCATTCTATGTCTGTCTTTTGAAATCTTTTGACAACCTAGATGCTCTCTAAAATATAAATAAGATTTGGGTGATAGGCATCAATAATTAAGCAATATCACTTTTAGGTAAAACTGTGGTAGAAGGCGAAATAAGGTAAAAAATCAAACTAGTGTGGATTTCCCAGGTGACATATATACAGGTCTCTGTTGTTTCCCAGTAATTCTTCCCCAAAACAAACCCAAATCATTACTAATCACCATCTATGCTATTTCTACCAGTATAACAAAAAATGCTACATTGTTAAATCCTTCAGGCTGAAGCCACACATTATTCATATTTCTATCATCAAGGAAATAGAACGTAGTAATGCTTAGTAAATAGTTATAGGGAGAGTAAATGAGAATCTACATTGATTTATCTTCTTACACTGATCTAGATATGTCTGAGTCAATACATAACAGCTAATAATGTAATTTCTATTATTTCACAAATTCTACCAGAAGTTGTGCGGCAATAATAATTACTTTGCCAAAGCTATGAACATTGTACAGGAAATCTGTTCCATGGTTACAGGGCTACACAGCTCACTTTAATCATTTTTGTCAAGGGAAACTAAGCAAGAGGATATAGGTGGCTTTTCTTTTCAATCATCCCTGTGAGGAAAAAAAAAACAATGAAATCGTGTGTCATCTACATTTGTGAAAATACCACATTAAGCCAAAACAGGGAGAGAGGATCTTACTGTTTAGATTTATTTTTTAAAAAGGAGATGACTATGGTGTGCTGGAAAATATATGGATGAGGAGGAAAAATAAAGTGAAGATGCAAAATTTAGAGTTTATGGTCAAAATTAAGCAATGACAGAACGTCCTCAGTATTATCAATAAGTGTTTAGAAAATGGCTATAAGATACTTCAGATAATATGATATTGTCATAGGACAATATTGTCTAATTTTAAAATTAGAATATGTTTAGAAATGTGGTGAAGTACATCTTCTCTGTGTTTAAGTGATATAAGCATATGGAATATAGAATACTAGGGCTTACAAGCATGTTCTGATTGCACTAAAATAAAGAGCCATTGAAATAAAAATGCATTATTTACTCCTTATTTCCAGTTCAAAACAAGATAATCTTCCATATCCTCACCACCAGGTGGATTCTGGAAGATAATTATTTTGCACACTCAGTTCAGGTTCTTGATTCCAATGCAGGAGGTTACTGCAGGTTTTAGAGCAAATGAGAGCCAAAATACATAAACTTTATTGTTATTGTTGCTCATTTGACATATCCCAAATGAATGGGCATTGGCCATTCAGATGGAAAACAAAAGCCTGTTTATCAGCTGGTTAATTGCACTCAAATATGAAATAAGATTTCCAGCAGTGAAGCTCTCTCACATTTCTATTTCTCACCTGAATGATAAACTATCTGTGAACAGAACCATTTCCAACATCGAAGTGTTTATCATAATGAGGCACATCTGCCACAGGTGAATACTGACCTTTCAACTTTGGTCAGCACCCTGACAGCAGGTGCAGTCATAGGAAAGGAGGATGGAGGCAAGTTTCCTGGCATTGTCATCTTCCTCGTATTTGTTTGGCTTAACTTGGAAATGAGGAAATAACTAAGTAAAGCCAGAACACTGAAAATATTCCTTACACAATGTGTCTAGTGAATGCTTTTACTTCCTAACAAATTTTCTGGGTTGGGGAAGACTGGAATTTTGTTGTAGTTAATATATTTTATTAGCAATTTATTTGTTTTTCAAACAGTAGTTGGACAGGATTATTCATTGTATCATTTTTAAAATGGTACAGATACTTAACTGAGCCTGCCTGATATCTGCTGCATCACTCAAGAATCACTGATTCTTACTTTACCAGTGGGAAGATATTAAATATAGGGCCACATCGTTCCTCTGTGGAGCTTTTGGACAGGCTGGATGATCAACAAAGGGGATATTTTTTAAAGGCCGGGATAGTACGCTCCTCTGTACCAGTGGAGAAGACTTAACTCTGATACTATAACTATAACTTACTGAATACCTTTAATCATGTACTATAGTAAGAGCATTATTACATGTATTCTTTGTTAATGTGTGAACTTTCCAGTTTGTGCAGTCTCCGTGCACAAGTCTCATTAAGGCAGCCTTCTAGAATGAGTGCTGCTTACCTGGTTTTGACTTACGGGCATCAGAATAATGACAGCATTCATGGACCACATGTAACCCAGTCATATGATTTCAGTAAATAATACCACCTCTGTCTCCATCCCTCTTTTTCTCCAGCTAATACCTGACCTTCTACTTGTCCAAGGCATTATTGAATCCTGCTGAAAAAGTAGCATAAGAGATTTTCCTAGCTAGGCGGCTGTGGCTCATGCCTGTAATCCCAGCACTTTGGGAGGTCGAGGCGGGCGGATCGCGAGGTCAGGAAATCGAGACCATCCTGGCTAACAAGGTGAAACCCCGTCTCTATTAAAAGTACGAATTAGCCGGCAAGAGAGGCAAATTAGAGGCAGGAGAATTGCTTGAACCTGGGAGGCGGAGGTTGCAGTGAGCCAAGATGGCCCCACTGCACTCCAGCCTGGGTGGCAGAGGAAGACTCCGTCTCGGGGCGGCGGGAGTGGGGGGAAGGTATTCCTTGTGCCTCAGGAACTAATAATCTAATTAAAGTTTAATAAATAGATGGCTGCTCCTCATTTATGCTTCCTCATAATGACCCCCCCAACAATTTTCTTTTTGGAAATCCGCTCTCTTTCCTCATGTGTGTGAATTCCATGCCTCTCCCTTCCTTTTAGAAAAGCAAGTGGGGGCTTTTCTAAAAGGTCAAGAGATCTAGAGATCATCCTGGCCAACATGGTGAAACCCCATCTCTACTAAAAATACAAAAATTAGCTGGGAGTGACGGTGGGCTCCTGTAGTCCCAGCTACTCGGGAGGCTGAGGCAGGAGAATCGCTTGAACCCGGGAGGCGAAGGTTGCAGTGAGCCGAGATGGCACGCCATTGCACTGCAGCCTGGCAGCCGAGTGAGACTCCCGTCTCAAAAAAATATTAAAAAAAAAAAGGAAAAGAAAAGCAAAGGGGTCAAATCATTTTTTCTCCCCAGGCCACTAGTAGAGGTTTTATCTGTGGCCTCAATCTACCATTCGGGTCCTCGTTTTTAAGATATTAAAAGGAATTTGAGTGACTCAGGAACAGCCATCACCATGATGATGTTCTCACCTCTGTTCTAGCTATTGGATTGTTACTGTGATTTCTGCTACAAAATCCTATCCTTCCCGAATTCTCTTGAATCATGGTCTGAAGCCTCATCTACCAACTTAATTTTATGAGCCCTCACCCCTACCCTGATATTCTTCCAATAAGTTTCCTTTCACTTTTGTTAACCAGAGTTGGTTTCTGTTGCTTGCAAGGAAGAAACATTATGATGCATAAAGTGTGTAATTATGAAAGATAGTTTATAATTAAGATAATGTATGTAATATTGGGAGTGAAACAGACAAAAATACCAGTACTAAAGAAAAAGGAAATGATGGTGGTCTCAGCTAATCAGTAAAAGAAACTAGAGACAGTGACCCGGGGAAGAACGAGGTTTCAACAGGCACAGCGGAATGGATAAGAACTGGTTTTGTTTGTTTGTTTTGTTTGTTTGTTTGAGACGGAGTCTCGTTGTGTCACCCAGGCTGGAGTGCGTTGGCACCATCTCGGCTCACTGCAACTTCTGCCTCCCAGGTTCAAGCGATTCTTCTGCCTCATCCTCCCTAGTAGCTGGGACTACAGGCACTCACCACCATGCCCGGCTAATTTTTGTATTTATTTATTTATTTATTTATTTATTTATTTATTTATTTATTTTTAGTAGAGACGAGATTTCACCATATTGGCCAGGCTGGTCTTGAACTCCTGACCTTGTGATCCACCTGCCTCGGCCTCCCAAAGTGCTGGGATTACAGGCATGAGCCACTGCACCTGGCCTGAATAAGAACTTTCTAAGCAGAGAAAAGGGGCAATTGTAGTCAGGGAACAATGAATGCATCAACTTCTATGGAGTGGGGATTATCTCAGAGTGGTCTTTGCACCACACACATTTGCTTAGTATCTTCAACTGTTGGACACTCAGGAACATGGAGATTGATAAGATCAGATACCTGCCCTTGCTCTTTAAACAGAGGGGGATACACTTGGAGTGTGTTAAAAATGATTTTTGACCACTGCCCTAACTCTGTTCTGTGGAAAAATAGCATCTTCTCCAAAGTGAATTTTTAGTGTTACCAGTGTATTATTTACAGGTAGAAAAAGGAAAATAAATGCTAGACTTAACTAAATGCATTTAAAATTGTAATGAGCAGACGCTTGAAACCTTCAAGGGTAGCACTCCATGAAAATTGTGAGAATTTCTAGCTTCAATTGATTCTCACTTTAACACTTTGAGTAAGTGTAAAACCATTTGTAAAAAATATATATATATAACCTATATGCAAAGTAAAACTTAATCTTACAATTGTGATTGCTTCACATACTTCTCTGAAAAATCCTTACTCATAACTCTGCTTCTTTCTGACAGATTTTAGCTAGAATTTTTGTCATTTTTTCTATTTAGGGCACAGGTAAAGCAATGATGATTTCTATAGGCCATCTTAATGTTAACACCATTTACATCTTCTTTTTATATTTTACTATACTATTGGTATTTAAATTCCTCTTGCTGTAAATAGTGATTTTCTACTCCATAATCAAACTGAACTTTTCCACTGTAGGGACAAGGATGGCAAACAGTCATATGTAGCATAGTGAACAACTTCCCTGCCTGACATAATCAAGAAGATGTACTTGTTTAACCATCTCATGAGTAGAAGTCTAGACTACCCACATAGACTACCCATATACGATCCAAAGGGTGCTGATCAGGAGGAACTGTTCCATTTCACCTTAACTTTGAAAAACTGTCAATGTTGATTTGTGTGTGTGTGTATGTGTGTTTGAAATAAAGCAATGATGGCTCTCTGAATATAACACTGTTTATTTAATTAAACTTTTACAGTTCACATTTAGGTTGGTTCCCTTTTAACTACCTGGGTTATTTGATTATTTATCTTTTATGAATTCCAACCAGCAGAATTACTAGTATATATACATGTTCAAGGCTTTTAACCTGTAGAGAATGTTAGCTTTTTTTCTTGTCAGAATATTTGTACCAATTTATATTTAATATAGTACTGCATAAGCTACTGCTACACTGTCTTTTGAACTTGAGTCCTGGAGCCCAGGGGAAGGAGGAACATGAGTGGGTCATTTTAGTTGTTGCAGGAATGTCTAATCTGAATTTCCATTTATCAATCAGAAAAGTTATTTATTTATTTATTTATTTATTTATTTATTTATTTATTTATTTTGATACAGGGCCTCACTCTGTTGCCCAGGCTGAAGCGCAGTGGCATGGTCACGGCTCATTGCAGTCTCGACCTCCCAGGCTCAAGTGATTCTCCCATTTCAGGCTCCTGAGTACCCAGGACTACAGGCACACACCACCACACACAGCTGATTTTTGTATTTTTTTTTTTTTGTAGAGGCAGAGTTTTGCCACGTTGTCAAGGCTAGAAAAGTGGTTTTTTTTAGTTTAAATTGCAAGACTTTTAAATCTCTATTTCTCAGTATTTCTTATAAGATAAAACCTCTCCTTTGTAAAATTTATTTTTAAAATGTTTTTATTTTTTGACACATTGCAATTGTATGTATTTATGGGATACAATATGATGTTTCAGTGCTTATATATATATTGTACAGTGATCTAATCAGACTAGTTAATCTATCCATCACCTCGTGCATTTATAATTTATTTGGGGTAAGAATGTTCAAAAGCCTCTCTTCTAGCTATTTTGTAATATACGATGTTTTTCTGTTAACCACAGTCACCCAACTGTGCAATAGATTATGAAAACTTATTATTCCTATCAAATTATAACTTTGTACCCATTGAATAAACTCTCCCTTGTCCCCCATCCCCTCCCTTCTCTAATCACTGATAACTGCTATTCTACTCTTTACTTCTATGATGTAAAAAAATTTTAAGATTCCACATATGAATGAGAACATGTGATATATGTCTCTTTGTGCCTGGCTTATTTTACTATACATGATGTCCTTCAGATTCATCCTTGTCACAAATAACACATTTCATTCTTTTTAATGGTTGAATAGTTTCCATATATATATATAGATATGGAATATATAATATTCCATATCTATATATATATATATCACATTTTCTTCATTCATTCATCCCTTGTTGGACACTTAAGTTGATTCCATATATTCGTTATCGTGAATAGTGTTGCAATAAATATGGGAGTGCAGTTATATTTTTTACATGCTGATTTCATTTCTTTGGGTATATACCCAGTAGTACGATTGCTGGATCATATGGCAGTTCTATTTTTAATTATTTGAGGAACTACCATACTGTTTTTCATAATGGCCACACTCGTTTACAACCCCAACAATGTGTAAGTGTTCCTTTTCTCCACATCCTTGCCAATACTTCCTGACTTTTGTCTTTTTGATACTAGCCATTCCAACTGGAGTGAGGTATTATCTCATTGTGGTTTTGATTTGCATTTCCCTGGTGATTAGTGATACAGAGCATTTTTTCATATACCTGTTGATCATTCATATGTCTTCTTTTGAGAAATATTGATTCATGTCTTTTGCTCATTTTTAATCGAATTTTCTTTTGCAGTTGAGTTGTTTGAGTTTTTTATATATTCTGCTTATTAATCCCTTGTCAGATGAATGGTTTTCAAATATTTTCCCCCATCTTGTAGGTCATCTCTTCACTTTGCTAATGTTTTCATTGCTGTTTCAAAGATTTTTAGCTTGGTATAATACCATTTGTCTATTTTTGGTTTTCTTCCCTGTGCTTTTTGCAACTTACCCCCAGATAATATTTGCCAAGAGTAATGTCCTGTAGCATTTTCTCAATTCTCTTTCAGTAGTTTCATAGTTTCAGGTCTTAAATTTAAATATTTAATCCATCTTTAGTTGACTTTTGTATATGGTAAGAGATAGGAATCCAGTTTCATTTTTCTGCATATGGATACCCAATTTTTTCAGCACCATTTATTAAAGAGACTGTCTTTTTCCCATTACACATTTTTGGCACCTTTGTCAAAAATGAGTTTGCTGTAACTGCGTGGATTTATTTCTGCCTTCTCTATTTTGTTCCATAGGTCTATGGGCCTATGTGTCTGTTTGTATACCAATACCATGCTGTTTTGGTTACTATAGTTTGGTAATATAATTTGAAATCAGGAAGTGTGATGCCTGCCTCCAGCTTTGTTCTTTTTGATCAGGATATTTTTTCTTTTCTTTTCTTTTCTTTTTTTTTTTTTTTTTTTGAGACAGACTCTTGCTTTGTTGCCCAGGCTGGAGTGCAGTGGCACAGTCTCCACTCATTGCCACCTTCACCTCCGAGGCTCAAGTGATTCTTGTGCCTCAGTCACCTGAGTAGCTGGGATTACAGGTGTGTGCTACCATGCCTAGCTAATTTTTGTATTTTTGGTAGAGACAAGGTTTCACCATGTTGGCCTGGCTGGTCTCAAACTCCTGGCCTCAAGTGATCCACCTACCTCAGCATCCCAAACTGCTAGCATTATAGGCATGAGCCACTACCCCTGGCTGTTTGGGATTTCTTTAGCTAATCAGAGTCTTTTGTGGTTTTCTTACAAATTTTAGGATTATTTAATGTTAGTAGTTTTATAGATGTTGCTTTGAATGTGTAGACTGCTTTGGGTAGTGTAGACATTTTAACAATATTAGTTGTTCCAATCAATGATCATGGGATATCTTTCCATTTTTTGTGTCTTCTTCAATTTCTTTTATCAGTGTTTTATAGTTTTTCTTCTAGAGATTTTTCACTTCTTTGGTAAAAGAAGCCTTCAGCTTTACTCTTTTTGTTCAGAATTGCTTGGGCTATTCAAAGTCTTTTGTGGTTCCATATGAATTTTAGGATATTTTTTCTATTTATGTGGAGAATATCATTGGTATTTGGATAGGAATTGCATTAAATTTGTAGATCTCTTTGGGTAGTATGGTCATTTTGGACAATGTTAATTCTTTCAAACCATGAACACAAAATACATTTCCATTTTTTTGTGTCTTTTTCTATGTCTTTCATCAAAGTTTTATAGTTTTCAGGGTAGAGATATTTCACCTTCTTGGTTAAGTACCTTAGTTTTGTACCTATTGTAAATGAATTTGGCTTCTTGATTTCCTTTTCAGATCATTCAGTATTAGAAAATAGCAATACTACTGATATTTGTATGTTGATTTTGTATTCTGTAACATTACAGAATTTATTAATTAGATCTAACAGTTTCTTGGTAGAGTCTTTGGGGTTGTTCATATATAAGGTCATGTCATCTGCACACAGGGATACTTCAGCTTCCTCCTTTCCAATTTGGATGCCTTTTATTTCTTTCCCTTGCCAGTTGCTCTGACTTCTATTACTGTGTTGAATAGGAGTGGTCAAAGCAGGCATCTTTGTCTTGTTCCTGATCTTTGGGGATTAGCTTTTAGCTTTTCCCCATTCGGTATGATGTTAACTGTGGGATTGTCATATATGTCCTTTATTGTTTTGAAGTACATAACTTACTAGACTCAATTTGTAGAGAGTTTTTATCTTAAGGGATGTGAAATTTTGTCAAATTGTTTTTCTGCATCTACTGAAGTCATCATATGATTTTGTCTTTTTTTTCTGTTAATGTGGTGTAACCACATTTATTGATTTCTGTATGTTAAGCCACACTTGCATCCCTGTGATGAATCTCCCTTGATTATAGCGAATGGCCTTTTTAATGTGCTGTTAGATTTGGTTTGCTACTATTTTGTTGAGGAATTTTGCATCTGTGTTTATCAGGGATATTGGCCTGTAGTTTTTTGTTGTGTTTTTTTTGTCCAGTTTGGGAATCAGGGTAGTGGTGGCCTGATAAAATGAGTTTGGAAATATTCTCTGTCCCACAACTTCCTAGAATAGTTGGAGGAGAATTGGTCTTCTTTAAATGTTTGGTAGAATTCAGCAGGCCCAGGGCTTTTCTTTGATGAAAGATTTTTTTTATTACTGATTTTCTCACTTGTTATTGGTCTATACAGATTTTCTATTTCTTCGTAATTTAATCTTTGTATATCCAGGAATGTATCCATTTCTTCTGTATATCTAATATATTGGCACACAGTTTTTCATAATAGTCTCTTATGATCTTTTGTATTTCTGTGGCATCAGTTGTAATGTCTCCTTTTTCATCTTTGATTTTATTTATCTTTTTTCTTTAGTTAATCTAACTAAAGGATCATTGATTGTGTTTATCATTTCAAAAAACAAACTCTTCATTTTGTTAATCTTTTAAATTGTTTTTCTATAATCTACTTTGTTTATTTCTGCTCTGAACATTTTATATTTTCTTCCTTCTACAGATTTTGGATTTAGTTTGTTCTTGTTTTTCTAGCTTCTTGGGTTGTATCTTTTGTTTTATTATTATTATTATTAGAGGTCTTTCTTCTATTTCTGGTGTAGGCATTTATTGCTATAAACTTTCCTCTTAGAAATGCTTTTGCTGTGTCCCATAGGTTTTGGTATAATGTTTTTCCATTTTCATTTGTCTCCAGGAAATTTTTAATTTCTGTTATAATTTCTTTATTTATTCACAGGATTTTTAGAAGCATATTATTTAATTTTCATGTATTTATACAGTTTCTGAATTGATTTTTACTGTTGATTTCTAGTTTTATACCATCATGGTCAAAAAATATACTTGATATAATCTCTATCTTCTTAAATTTCTTCAGACTTGTTTTGTGGCCTAACATGTATTTTATCCTGGAAATTGTTCTACATGCAATTGAGGAAAATGTGTATTCTGCAGCTACTGGATAAAATGTTCTGTAAATGTCTCTTAGGTTAATTTGGTCTACAATGTAGTTTAAGTCCAATGTTTTTTCATTCATTTTTTTGTCTAGATAATCTGTCCATTTTGAAAGTGGGGTGTTAAAGTCTCCTACTCCTATTATCTTCTTCTCCCTTTAGATTTAATAATATTTGCTTTATATATCTGAGTGCTTGGGAGTTGGGTGCATATATATTACAATTGTTATATTACCTTGTTGAATTGATCCCTTTGTCATTATATAATGAACTTCTTTGTCTCTTTTTATAGTTCTTCACTTAAAGCCAATGTTATCTAATGTAAGTAGGGCTATTCTTGCTCACTTTTGTTTTTTGTTTGCATAAATATCTTTCTCCATCCCTTCACTGTCAGTCTGTTTGTCTTTAACAATGAGGTGAGTCTCTTGTAGGAAACATACAGTTTATTCCTATTTTTCGTATCTGTTCAGCTACTTTATATCTTTTAATTTGGGGAATTGAATCCATTTACATTCAAGGTTATTAATATATAAGGATTTACTCCTACAATTTTGTTAATTGTTTTCTGGTTGTTTTGTAAATATCTGTTAGGTTAATTTACTCTATGGTATAATTAAGTCCAATGCTTCCTTGTTGATTTTTAATTGAAATAATATGTTTACTGTTGAAACTGGGAGTGTTGAAGGCTCCTATTATTGTTGTATCGCAGTCTAGTTCTCCCTTTAGGTCTAAGAATATTTCTGGGTCCTTTGTTCCTTTCTTCCTCACTTATTTACCTCAGTGGCTTGGTAGTTTTCTTTGGTGCTAAACTTAGTTTCCTTTTTTCTCATTGCCTATCTGCTGTAATTTCTTGCTTTCTGGTTATCATGGGGCTAACATCAAGAGTCATATAGTTATAATAGACTATTAAGCTGAAAGCAACTGAATTTTGCTCACATAAGAGTACTCTAGACTTTTTTCCTCCCGCCCTATAATTTGTATTTTTGTTGCCTTAATTTACTTTCTTATCTATCATATATTCTTTAGCTCCTAATTGTGGCTGTTGATGTTTTCCATCATTTTTATTTTAAACCTTCATACTAGAGTATTGAGAAATTTTCATAGTGCAATTACATCACTGGGGTATTCTTAGTTTGATACATAGATTTACCTCTACTGGTGATTTCTATACTTTCCTATATTTTCATGAATAGTAATTATAGTTCTTTTGTTCACAGCTATAATGCTCCCTTAAGCACTTTTTGTAAGGCCAGTCTAGTGATTATATATTTCTTCAGCTTTTGCCTGTCTTGGAAGGTCTTGATTTCTCCCTTACTTCTGGGATAGCTTTGCTAAATTGAATATATAAATTTGAATATATAATCCTATTCCCTCCTAGCCTACAAGATTTATGCTGAGAAGCCTGCTGATAGTCTAATAATAATTGTCTTATATTTGACTTGATGCTATTTTCTTGCTGCTTTCAGAATTCTCTTTCTTTCACTTTTAAAAGTTTGATTATAATGCATCTTGAAGAGGAATTTTTTGGCATTTAATATATTTGTGGGTCTTTGAGCTCCTTGAGTTTGAATATCCATGTCTCTCTCAATACTTGGGAAATTTTCGCTATTATTTCTTTAAATAGGTTTTCTGTGTGTTTTACCATCTCTTCTCCTTCTGATACTTCTCTAATGCAAATTTTGTTTGCTCAGTGTTATTCTGTACATCCAATAGGCTTTCATTATTCTTTCTTATTCTTCTTTCTCTTCTGACAAGGTTATTTCGAAAGACCTGTACTCAATTCAGAGACTTTTTATTCTGCCTGAGCTAGTCAGTTGTTGAAGCTTTCAATGGTGTTTTTATTTTATTCATTGAATTCTTCAGCTCCAAGATTTTTGTTGGTTCCTTTTTATGATCTCTATTTCTTTGTTGAATTTCTCATTCAGATGATGAATTGTTTTACTGATTTCCTTTAATTGGTTGTCTTTTGTTTATGTTCTTGTATCTTTCTTCAGATTTTTATTTTATAATAATAACCTTTTAAAGGCATTTTGTAAATGCCTGAATTCCTTCATAATCAATTTATAAATGTTCTTTCTTTGAAATCTGTTACCACGAGATTTATTGTGTTCCTTTGAGGGTGTCATGTTTCCTTCTTTTTAAACTTTTCTTATGTTCCTACATTTTTGTGTGCACACTGAGAGAAACAGTCCCTTTTTCCAATTTTATGGAGTAGCTTACATAGGGAGTTTTTCTGTAGATAGGTCTTAGGGTGTCAATTGGGTATGATGCATTAACTTTCATTCTGGTGGACTCAGTAGCATGGTCTCTGTCAGTTTATTTAACTATAATTCTTGTCAGCAACACCTGTGATTGCTTCAGTGGCCTAGTCTGTGTGAGTTTATGATGGTTGTGGTGCAGTTTTGCTGGGGGTAGGGGAGATATCAGGCTGGTTGCAGGGGCAGATGTGGGCAGGCAAAGAAATTGACAGACTGTCCTCTGGGCTTTCCATGAAGGCAGTGGCTCCTGCTAGACCAGCTGTTGGACAGGGTACAACTGGCTGAGCAGCTGTGTGGCTGTCTTTCTGGGAAACTGGAGATACCACTGGACTGGCTATTGAGTCAGGTGTACATGAGCACAGCAGGGCCAGGTGGTTCTGCAGCAGTCTGTCAGGGGAAGGAAGCTGCAGCCAGACAAGTAGTTGTGCTGGGCATAGGTACATGTGAGCATGGCCATGCCATGCTGCCTTGAGGAAGTCTGTCCACAGGTTCAAGCCACGGCAGCACTGGTTGTCAGGCCAGGTGCCATTGTATGCAGGTGCAAGCAGGTGCAGCAGGACTGGGTGGCCTTGCAGAAGTCTTTCCAGGGACATGTAGCTACCACTGGACCAGCTGTCAAGCTGGACACAGGTGAGCCCAAGTATGGCAGGGCTGAGTTGATTTGCAGTGGTCTATTGAGGGGATCAGATCACCATAGGACCAGCTTTCAGGCTGGACATGTGCAGGATAAGTGGGCCAGTCAGTTGTTCAACACAAGTGTTCATGGGTGAGGCACCCAGTTGGCTGTTTAGTGGCTACCACTCTGCTTGCTCCCTGAAGGGGTGGTGTGCCACATGGGTTTACATGTTGGGGTCTTATTCATTCCATCTGGCCTAGGCTCTTGGCAGCAAGCGTCATGGTATTGCAGACACCAGTGTGAACATGATAATAAGACAGTGGGGCTTCAGCCATAGAAAGAATTGGTTGCTATTGGCCCCCAGGGAAGAATGCACTCTAGCAGTGTGTCCAGTTTCAAGACAAAGCTGAGCCATAGCAGCTTAGGCCATGGGGGTGGAGACTGTTCAAGGTGGGCTTCTACTCTGAGGCAATGCAGCTGCACAACTCCTGGCTACTGTACAAACTGGAGTAAAGGCCTATGAGGACTGTGGGACAGGATTGCTGATGTTTGTGGCTGCCATGGGGACCTCTGGATAACTCCAGCTTACCTTTCCTTCATAAGAAGATGTCTCCACTGACTCTGAGCTGAGCCCAGTGGACAAGGCAGAGTGGCAAAGGCAGAATGTCTTGCTCACCTCTTTATGTTGCTATTCTGGTTTTCTGTGCGACACAGGGATTTTTGTCATTACCCTGGTGTTCCCCAGCATACTTCCTTAGTCATTGTACTCAAAATATAGTTCTTTACTCATTTTTTGTTTCCTTTTGGTGGGGAGGACAAGTACCAGGTAACTCTAGCCAGCCATTGTTGATGTCACTCTATTATTTATAAAATGTAAATAATATCAATACAGAAGAATAGACTTTCCTAAAATATCATCACAGAATTTTACTTCCACCATGAGGTTCTCCATTCCGTATGTATCCATCTCTATCTGTCTATCTACCTACCTACCTATCCCTATA
This sequence comes from Homo sapiens, assembly GCF_000001405.40. NCBI lineage: Eukaryota > Metazoa > Chordata > Mammalia > Primates > Hominidae > Homo > Homo sapiens. The sequence continues at coordinate 92,877,069 of NC_000005.10, forward strand.
AAGGGAAGGTCAGGGTTTGAACGTTTTACCCCTATATTCATCCTCATATCTGTGTCTTTGCTCATTTCATTCCTCTTCCACCATGCTCTTCCTCCTTTCCCAGACCTATTCTTAACTTCCCATTCTTCTATCCAGAGGACAAACCTCACCCCTGCCTTGCTGCCTCTCTATCTGGCTCATAGTAATCATTTCTCCGCTTCTTATCCCTGACACTGCATCGTTACAACCTAGAGGATAAATATTGGCTAAGATACAGTTACTAATGCATTTAAGCTTAATTGCTTTTAGAAGGAAAGCATTTATTACCTACTATTTAAGAATGATGATCAGCTGAGTATTTCATCCCTTCTGACCACATTGTTCTTTGTTATTAGAAAAAGAAATTATCAGTCTTCATAGATATAACTAGCTCATAAAATAATTATCTTTCAGAAAATGTGTAAAACTTGCTGTCATCACATGATGATGGTGATCTACTTAGATTTCTGTATTTTTAAGACCCTGAATTTTTCCTTGAACCCTCATCAGGAGTTGTCAAGATGTGACTGACCCATATGTCATTATTTTTCAAAATAATTGGGATTCCCTCAACTGTATAGTAGGTCTTGTTAAATATAAATGAAATGCAGAATTATATATCTTCATTTTGAAAAGTCTCTAGTATGAAACAGTATTATTCCCAACGTAACTCTTCCTACTTTCTCACTATCATTCCACCACAGACACACACACACACACACACCCCTACACACACATCCCTATACACAAACACATTCCACAAAAAAAAACCCCATCAGTTTAAAAATAACAATTATTCTCTTTTCATTACAAAATATTTTCATGCAACTACTCAATAGCAAACTTGGATTTTTGATCATTTGATCCCGTCTCAAAAACACACTCTTTAAATGTGCATAGATTTAATTTTATTTATTAGAAGTTAGCCTCCAATTTCTTCTCAAATGAAACCTTTTCCTCATATCACTGTCATATTTAATTTTCATACCCGTGTATTTTCTATTAACCAAAAGTAATAGTAGACTATAATCCTGAAGTTTAAAACAATTTTATCTGTGACTTTCAAGTTTAGTTTCTGTAAACCTGTCAATATCAATTATAACAGGAAGATTTTTTAATTACTGTTTTCCCCAGGAGATTTTTTTTATGAGAACCATCATAAATAAGAGGTAGAAACAGAATTACTACAAATAAGTACAAATAATTACAACTACTATATGAAAACATTTTCAGGTGTTAGACATAATCATTTCTGCTTGAGCTCCTGAAATAAACACTCAGATGAAGCATTTTAAGTTATATCTACTGTAAATGGGGAAAAAAAGAAAAATAGAATCCAGGAATCTTGTTCACTTTTGTGCAAAAATAAATTTTATATGAAATCAAGGATGGTTCTCATATTATCAGTTTGTCAAATAATCTACAAATTAATTTCTTTCTTTTTTTTTTTTTTTTTTTTGGTGGTGGTGGTTGTTGTTTTTGAGATGGAGTCTCACTCTGTCACCCAGGCTGGAGTGCAATGGCATGATCTCGGCTCACTGCAACCTCCGCCTCCTGGGTTCAAGCCATTCTCCTGCCTTAGCCTCCTGAGTAGCTGGGATTACAGGCGACTGCCGCCACGCCCAGCTAATTTTTTGTATTTTTAGTAGAGATGGGGTTTCACTATGTTGGCCGGGCTAGTCTCAAACTCCTGACCTCGTGATCTGCCCGCCTCAGCCTCCCATACAAATTAATTTCTCGAAGACTAAGATGACTGTTTCCTATCAAGTACTTTTAATTTCCAAACTTTAAAAGTAGGAACATGAGAGAATTCTGTGTATTTCACTGTTAAATATGAACAAATTATTGTACATATGAGATAATTCTGTGTATTTCACTGTTAATGTGAAAAAGCTATTGTTCATGTTTAACAGTGAAATAGAATTCTGTCATGTTCCTACTTTAAACATTTATTTTTCCTTTACAGCAAGGAAAAGGAAAAAAAGATATAACTTACTCCTGTTTTTTTTTAATTCATTTCAGTTACACACTTTCCCTTCTTAATTTCTCTCAAAAGGCTTAGAACATTTAGTAACACCTGCTGGGGTGATACCTCCAGCGGCACTTCCCCAGAATAGTGCCATGTGTTTGCAGTGATACAGATTACTGTCTCTATACTCTTCTAATCACCTGATTATATCTGACATCAGAAGGCTGGCGACAATGAACTTTCTTCATGCCCACCGTGGTAAGATGTAGAAACTTGGGGCTCTGTGAAGTTGTGTCTCTTACCCAGCCCAGTGGAACTCAGAATAGAATCTTTGTCCTACTACAGATGGTCAACAGACTGGAGTGTGCCAGTAATCTGAGAAGAGGCCAAACTTATTTTAATTACAAATTACTCCATCACTCCACATTTATCTCTCTGTACCTGTAGTAAATGCAACAGACAAGTTAATATACATTATTTAAATAGCCATCAAAACCTTTCCTGCTTCAGCACTCTCCACCTTTCTCTGGAAACCCTGTAGGTTTGTAGGGATTTATAACTGCAAGTGCCTGAAGTCAAGTTTCAGTTCTAGCAAATGTGGGGTAGAACAAGCTGATCAGACATTGGAACAACAAAGACAGGAGGATTAAGGCAGTCTGCAAGGATGAAAGTATAAAGAGATCTTGGGGGAAAATAGCTTGAGAAGAGCCTTTTAAAAATCAAACAGAAAAACTCTCATCAGTTGGTTCTTATTTCTTTTTTAAAAATGTAGCAACATGTGCAAGGAGTTTTATATATCAAGTTATATCTCTCATTCTTAAAAAAAGAATTAAAAGGCAAGCAGTTTAATAACCCTTCAGCATTTTCCCCAAAGTTATTTAGCATTCTTGTCATTAGAAAAACAATAATTTCAGAACATTTTCCAGGAAAAATACACAGAACTGGAAGGAAATGCATGTGCCCATGTGGAAATACTTAAGTTCTTCTCCCATATTGAACCTGTCTGCGCATTCATAGAGAACTTATGACATATTTCCTTGTTATGTATACACTTTTTTTGTTCAACAATGCCAAAAAGTGATAACTTGGAGACTGAGAATTAGACTGACAGTCACCTGTCATTCATTGTCCTTTATTCTGACAACTTCAGGCATTCAGGCATGGATTTATGGGTATTTCGCCCCTTTCTCTTTATTTTTAAAGGGGTTGGGGGATGGGGGAGAATATCACAGGATTCAGTTCTGAATAGACTTTTGTTTTGCTCTTTCTTTTACCTCTTGACTGTGTCAAATGCAGTGTGTCTCCCATGCAGTTTCTCTCTTTAGAGAGCCTTGGCTTGGCCAGCTAGTTAGTATTCAGAGACAAGGCAAAGAGGATAAAATTCTTCTCTCTGCTTGCTGAGACTGCAAATAAGCAATTAGACTAAAAGCAATGTATTGGAGAAAGAAGGACATTGCAGATATCATTGTTGACTGGAACCTGCCAATAGAACTTTAAAATTATAAAAACTTCATAGCAGGGAGAAATAGTCACTTAGAGGCATGTAAGTTGGTTAAGACACTAAGTCAGTATTTGCTACAGACATTTCTTCAGTGTAATGTATTCTGTGAACTGTAAAATTTTCCATTTAATCCTGTTTCCTTATTATACTGAGAAACAAATGGGGGAAATTAGCAATGGTGATAGAAAATTCAACCTTTTTATTGTATAGCATGTTATGAAAACATTTTCTAGATTGGCATGTTACTCCCATTTTCATTTGAGCTCACTTTAAAGGATTGTAATGGAAGGCTGAAGGTTACAAACTGTTTTATGTCTGACCAAGCAATATCATGTAGCTCTGCTGCATAGTTCTATGAAAGGTTTAAAACAATATATGCCAGCCATTTTCTGGTTATCAGTGATGGTATGTGAGCTAGTTCTTAAAACTCTTCTTATTCCCTTCTTTAATATAGGTATTCTATGCTGGGTTCTAGTGATTGATGCACTTCCCTTGCAATGCACAAATGCATTACTCTGTTAGTAAAACTGGGATTACCTAATTCCATTATGTAATAGATAGGTTAGTCTCATGTATGCCTTCAAGATTGCCCAATTGATGGGAAGAGGCATGTAGACCTTCTTGATTAGATATCCATTCCTTTTCCTCTTCCCACCCCCATCCTTCAAAACCACGTTTCCCAAAAGTTGAGAAATGCTAGCCTGATGAATTTATTTTTACACATTCTAAGCCAGGAAAAAGAAAGGAATCTGGATTATTGACATTCTTTACCGGAACTACAGTAGACTAGAGTTAGCAGAAAAAACTGCTAATCATCACAGTTTTCGTGTTGGAAGCAATTTGCCTATAATTAGTAAGTTGATAAATACCAACAAAATGGGTGCTAAAACGAACAACTCTTGTGCTGAGAGACATTTGACTCTACATTACACTTTGCATTTTTATATATGCAGCATTACATTTTGTTACAAAGAGCGACAACTTTAGTGGCAGCTGAAGCACTCTAATCTGTCTTCTGAAGAAAAGCAGACATACATCTTAATATAACAACTTCTTTTATAAAACGTATCTGTTTTTTCAAGGAATAAGCAATGCATGGATAAGAAAAGAAGTTGGTCTTTTATTTATTTTATATAAAATGGTAACAGATGATGGAGGGCTTGTTTTGCTAGATAAGAAAATGCTATCGCACATAAGATTAAATGGTACCAGTGACTTAGGGTATATTCTTCATTGGTAATACCAAATTCACATTTGTTTGCAGATATTTGTGTTCTGCATTTCATATAAAACAGCTATTTTACTAAATGTCTATCTCCATATAAAATCAAACCCATGACCATTTTTGTTTAAGTCAAACAAGGAAATGCATCTGGTGTGCTAAAAAGTGAGACAAACATTTTATTCAAACAAACAAGATATAATATATTTTATCTTTGAAACCAAACATATTTAAATATATGAAATGTTTTAATAAATGCTAGCTTTTGTAAGGGTCTAAATCATAATAGATGCTTTGTACATAATAAATAAAAGAATATGATGGCTTTATCAGTGGTATACTGAAATTCTTGTTCTTTCATAGCTAGCAGAAAACATAATTTCACAGCAAATTCAATCTGTACAATCTGATAGAACAAAAGAGGTTATCCCAAGATAGAAATAGTGAGGGTAAAAAGAAACTTCTTTGTGTGAATGTGGTAGAAAAGACTACATCTTTCTAGTGCTTTTTAAATGGTAACTAGTATTTATAGTCAATTTCAGGAGCATCCTTATCTACAGCCCCTTTATTGGTAACTTGATTAGCAGATGTGGGTATCAGAGAACTTGCAGTGTCGTTATACTACAGACCACGTGGTGAATGGATTGATTACCTCTTATCAAGTAACTTCTAATATAATTTTTGATACCTTTGATTTATTTTTTTCTTTCCCATTAAACAGTACTTCTTTGGTATTCCCAAATACTGGATCAGACAGTAAGAAATGTCCACAGGAAAGTAAATACATGTTTTTCTTCCCCTCTTCAGAATATTCTACAGTGGGTGGTAAAATAATTAAGCCATTTCAAAGTCATGTAAAGTATCCCAGATATGTCAGAGGAAGAAGAGGCTGCAATTTATTATTTTTCTGCAATAAATCAACATGAAAGAGAACATTTTAAAGGACCAAGTAGCTTTGTTTTCATTTACAGTTCATATCAATAATTTTATACCATGAGCACTTTGCCTGTTTGAGATGTGTCTTCCATCAGGAACAGCTTGATTATTATGAAATAAAAAAGCAAACATTTTGAGGAAGCATATGTTGCAGTTATTTGTGAAGTATGTGTTTCATCTCATTTATCATTATTATTATTATTACTATTCATCCTAGTTGAAACTTGGGCTTCAATTCATGGGGTATATATGCTTTTAATGATGATTTATGTATAAGATTGAATCAAAATTCATTTTGTACATGTAAATTCTTCACAGTTTAGTATTGTACTAACAAAACAAAGTATTTTCATATCTTCGGAAAAGCTTTTCCAAGATCGAGAATAATACATTTACAGACAGTCTGAGATTAAAGAGGGAAGCTATGCAGCTTGACCTGGTCAATTTTGCTGTCATTTTTCTTGGCCAGTATTATTTAATTTATTTCTTTCAACATATAACTCCATTTAAGAGATCCCAACATTTTGCAAGTGTCATATAACCTATCTCCTTGGAATATTTCTTTCTTTCTAAAACAAAGTTGTATATAGTGAGCTGCAAGAGCCTTTCTTTGTGCTTGGTTTCTTCCCAACCATTTTCCATTCAAAAACAATGCTGACATATGCATGAAATGACAAATAGCATTAGTGTAATAAAGGAGATACACCAAACCTAAAGCACAGTCATACATTAAATTGCTTCTAAAAATACTGACCTAAGCACCTCTATGAGTTGTTATAAGTAAAATTTGAAGGAAAAAAAAAAGACATTTGGAAGTGAGATGTGCTCTCCTTTGTAGCCTACATAATTGCTGGCTTGCCATCATATTTGCTTGAGATGCCTTTGTCAGATATTATTTCATGTCTCTTTGTCAAAAGGGGAGGTTTTGAAGCCTTTTTTCTCCATCTGGAAGACTGCTGTCAGGGCTCAGACCAAGCCTCCCAGGGCTAGAGCACTGTGTCCAAAAAGCTTTTGGTAAAAAGCCTTTAAGCAGTGCAGCCCCTCATTTCCACTCACCAGATCAACACATATGTTTTATCAAAAGAAAAATTCTAACATTTCAACATAAGTTTCAAACACCAGAACTGTAACTTAGTGACAATTTTTCATTAAGACCTAGTGTTGAATAACTCTTAGCATACAGAATTACCCATGCCGAATGTAATCTAATACAACAGTTATGTCATCTTCCTTGTTAAGTGGTGATTTTCTAGAATTTGATGATTTACAAGGCTATTCTAAAAATGGTTGACATCTCTAAGTAGATGGTTTTCCAACACACAGTAATACTCTATAGGATAAGATGGAGTTAAAAACAAATTCATTTTTCATTCATTTACTTCTTCCAGAGAAATTCAGTATAAAGATCATGGTAAAGCTTATCATATCAGCAATCAAAAACAGGAAAAGAAAGTAATTGTAGGACATACAATAACAGAACTATTTTCTGCACAGATCCAACTATGTGGAGAACTGTTCAATTAGGACCCACAGTTACTTTTAATGACAGTTGTTGTGGAATAAGTGGAAACATCTGTTACCACGAACCACCACAGTGGCTACACATGAAAAAACAGTTCTCTGTTCTATTGATTGGGACTGGTCTTTGTGGAATATTCTTATTAGTATGCTTAGAACAACCATGCAGATCTCTAAGCCAAATTAATTATTCTTGGCATTCCCAAGAAATGATCCTACAGTCATTTTTTAACCAAAGGCAGGGAGCAGGGGAACCCTTCTCTGTGCATATTTTATGATGGTTCCTCATGCCTAATTGTCCTACTGTATGTTGCCCTATTTTACCAGCTACAGTCTGAATTCATTCCCATCCTCTCCTTAAAAGTTTGAAACCCCCTAGTGACAGGAATATTAATGTGCCAACACTGTCATATCTATTTCAGCTCATACATATGCAATGTCTTTGTTTTCAAAGATTTATGTCAGACTTTGCTGAAGTGAGGTATTCTACCATTTTAGATAATAGCATGCCAAAGTGATGTTATCAGCCACATTCAGCACTCACTCAAGCAAACGGGAGGAGCATCCTTCCTTCATGGCTTAAACTCATAGAAACTGTTATTTATCCTTTTTGATGAGAAAATCTTTCAGGGGGAAATGGTGTATTTTTAGAAGAAGATTATGGCCATCCTGTGGATTATCTTTTAATTAAGAATGGATGATTTGTGCCCACTCTGCTGTAGCAAACGTCTTGCTGCTAACGAAGTTTAAAAAGACTTACTTTATTTAATTACAGCTAATCACCAGGGTAAAATGTGGAATTTTCTTTGATCCTACAAGTAGTGTGGTAATCCCCATGGCAGATAGCATCTCCTCAAAATGTTTTGAGTTTTTCAGCCGGTCACAACTTGGCAAAAGGTGGAACAACCTTACTCTAAAGAATTTCTTTCACTCCCTCTGTAGTTGCCTACCCTGGCATAAAAAATACATGAAATTTTCTTACAAGCTGAGATGGTCCCTGAGACAGAAAGCATTGAAATATTCAAATATTTGAATATTTTACTTTGTTCAGCATTCAGAACAGGGTTCTTTACTCTTGTTCAATGATTCAATTTAACCAACATTATTGGACACTCTCAATGTGCCAAATGCTGTTCCAGGCACTAGGAATGGAGAGGTGAAGAGAATGTATTGAGCCCACTATTAAACAACCTTTAAGATGAACTGTGTTTACTTTCTACTGTATTTAGTCCATGTGGACATAAATAGATGAGTGTGCTTTAAAACCAAAAATTGTTTTTGTCATTGGTTTGGTTTGTTTTTAAATCATCGGTTTGGAATTACTTACTCAAGCCTTGTAACATCAAGCAGGACTATCTTTTTTATTGTGTATCTCTTCTGTCTCTTTCCTTTGGAAAGTACAATATGTTAACTCCCATTTTCTGGCCTTATTCTTTCCTGAATCTCAAAGAAAATTATTTTGAGAATACATATTAAGCCACTCTTCATTCTAGGTGATATCTTTCTATGAGTTTTCATCCTTATAAACATACAGACTTAATCATTTTCACCAAAAGTGGAGTGTCATTCTTTGTCACGCTTTCTAATATTTATTCTTTCCAATGTAAATTACATGTTTTTCCCTGAAGTAAAAGCCCATCGCCAAAATTGATTTGTGGGTTTTAGTGTGTTTTATGTTTTTAATCTCAAAGAGGTCATCTTGTTCTTTTTAAAAAAGTACCTCCCTTCTTCTTTTTTTGTTTTTATTCTGTAGTCTTCAGTCCATGTGACCCAGCTGATATTGACTGGTTCTGAATAAAGGCCCTGAAGGGCAAGGTCGTGCAGGCTCCTTGGGAGAGAACAGAACTGCAGATAGAGAGCAGAGGGGACAGAGGCCAGCAGAGACCTGTGTCGGACAGAAGAGGGCACCAGCAAACTGACCTACTCACCCCAGCTGCTGACCCCCACTTCGACCTGGGATCAAACCAGCAGCTGAGCACAATAGATAGGCTGGGTTCTTTTTGGAAAACAAAATTTTCCTGGAACATGAGTATGTCTAAACTAACTAATCAAAATGAAAGAAATATATGTCTTAGTATACCTTTTCATGATTTGATAATTGGCCGTTTTCAAGAACATAATGAAAACTCAGCTGTCCCACTAAAATAATTATCACCAAGGAGGGGCAGTTACCGAAAGATAAACAATTCCTTTGAAAACTAAATAAATTATCTATCAAACTGTTACTCTATCTATAACTTTAAAAGAAAAAAGTCATCTGGGCAGAATTATTGGCTTCACATCTTCAAATGTGTTCTACTTTGTTTAACAAATTGAAGTTTCAATGAGTTCTTTTGGTTTGCCAGGATTGAAGCAGATTTAAAGTAGGTTTGTTGTCAAATCAGCGTATGGGTCTCTATCTCACACCTAGGCTTCCATTATCACACAATGATGAGCACTCTCTTCCCACCACCTCCATATAAACGCTTAAACACATCCCTTCCCTGCATACTTCCCACTGCCCACACCCGTGTAGTAATTTATATGCCACTTTCCCCAGAACTCCCTCCATTCTAGTAGGAAGCATTTAGACTTACAAAGTGATTGAGGTGGAGGAAGTTCTTCCAAAGTGCAATTCATGTGTCTTTAAAAAAAAAAAAATTAAACACTATAAAGTAGGAGAAGCAAAACAGAATTTGCGGTTAGTTCCTGTAATATGTTAAACATCTGCAGTTTTGTCTCTTCATCGGGATGCGGGGTTGTGCTGTAGTCACATCCTGATAACATCTGCACATTACTGATAGCTTTTGCTTTATTCTTTATGGTCTGCTGATGAGAGATTCTTTAACATTCCTTCAGTCATCAAGACCCCAGTTGGATTTCTTTGCTTGTGACAGCCTTAAAGGTGGTTTCATTTACATTTGCTAAAATGTCACAATATAGGAAGATATTTTCAGTTTGATGTTTCATCCCTTCCTTTTTTTATCCGGATGCTAGTTTTAGCTTTTCAAATGAATGTCGAACTCAAAATAGATTTTCCATGAAATATATTTTGTCTGATTTTTGGAACACCATGTCTGCAGCAGAAGACTTTTTTTTTTTTTCCAAAAAAGTTTTCAATAAGGAATGGCACCTCTCTACTCCTGCTTGCATTGCAACAACAGCTACCATGCCATGAAAGGGCTAGCTTGTTTAACATCCAGTAACACAGAATGTACGACTAGTTTAAAGGTCAGGTACTGACAGGATGGGAGCTGTTTTTGCTTCCCTAATGACCCCAATTACATCAGAGCTGAGCAAATAGTCAATAAACAGTGGCACTAACATATGTAGAAAAATTGTTTATTTCACATTTCCAAGACAATTAGCAATCCCGTCTCTGGTTCCAGAAAGACTTTGAGATCCTAGAGGTTTTAAATAAATGAGACCATGAAAAGTAATATAGAATATTCATGTAAATAATCTTGGGCTATATGAAAGCATTATTTATATTGCTGAATACATTTTTCTTGATGTAGCAAGCGAGTGGTCAATGGCAATACATAAGACAACTGTAAAGAGCTCTATAAACAATAAATTTTAAAAAGATTAATTGGTTTTGAGAGTTAATTTTCTTGAACAATTTAGTGGAGATTTTTCGTTACCCACTTGGGATTCATAGAGTTGAATAAGAGCTTTCACTGACATTCATTTTTAAAGATGAGATGAGAAAACATTTTTTTTCCATTTTATAATATTTGGAGATTTTTATATATTGTATTGATTTCTAATGTAATTCTATTGCAGGAGAATACTCAATAAGATTTCCTTTTTTAAAAAATTTGTTGAGACTTCTTTTGGTCTATCCTGTTGCCTATATTGGTGAATTTCTCATGTAAACCTGAAAAGAACGTGTATTTTGCAGTGTTGGGTGAAATGTTCTGTAAATGTTATTTAGGCCAGATATGTTGACAGTACTGTTCAAATTTTCTATCTCTTTATCAATATTCTTTGTGTGGATAGTCCATCAAGTACTAATAGTAGTGTTAAAAATGCCCAACTGTGATTACTGATTTGAGAATATCTTGTTTTGCTTCACAGATTTTGAAACTTTTTTTATTAGGCACATACACATTTAAGATACGTCTTCCTGATGAATTGACCCTTTTATCATTATGAAGTGTCCTCTTTATTTCTGGCAATTTTCCTTGTCTGGAGGTCTACTTCGTCTGATATTAATATAACCACACCAGCTAGGAAACACAGATTTTTTTTCAAGTGTCTGGCTACATTTGTGGGTCAAATATTTAAGAAAGAGTGCATCAGCTTACCTGACAGCTTGCATTCCCATAAATATCAACCACAAGAGAGAGTTTATCGTTTCTCATGGGTAAGCCATAGCCTTCTGAGACAGGGGCAATGAAGGAAAGAGAAATTAAATGAAATGGAAAAAATGAGTTAGAATGTGACACAAAATAAATCAGAATATAATTTTTATTACTTAGAAAATTCAGATCTGTAATTTTTAGAAGTATTTTAATATTTACTGAAAATTTCTACTTCACTATCAGCTGTAGGGGATTGAACAGTATCCTCCAAAAATTTATATCCACCCAGAACCTCTGAGTGTGACCTTATTTGGAAATACGGTTTTATAGATATAATTAAGTTAAAATGAGAACATACTGGATTAGGGTGAACCTAAGTCCAATGACTAGTATCCTTATAAGACAGACACACAGAGACATGCACAGAAAAGAAAGCCATCTGAAGATGGAGGCAGAGATCACAGCGATGAAGCTACAACCCAAGGAACATCAGAAACTCAGAGAGTGGCAAGAAAGAATTCTTCTCTAGAGCATTTAGATGGAGCATGGCTCTGTCAACACCTTGATTTTTGAACATCTAACCTCCCAAGCTGTGAGAGAATAAATGTCTGTTGTTATAACCCACCTAGTTTGTCATATTTTTTGTGGCAGCCCTATGAGTGCCCTGAAAACTATCAGTTATCTCAATTAACAAAATTCTATTGTATTAGTCAGCTTGAACTGTCATAACAAAATACTACAGACTGGATGGCTTAAACAATGGGAATTTTTCTCTCACAGTTCTGGAGGCTGGGAAGTCCAAAATCAAGGTGCAAGACAATTCATTTCTCTGATGACGGTGTTCTTCCTGGCACATAGCTGGCTCCCACACAAAGGCCTCAGAGTTGTCAGCAATATCCTCATCATTGATGTCCATGCCATACCATGTGCCTCTCTGGGCATGCTATGCCCACAGCTTGTTGAGAATGTTTGTGGTATCAAAGCCAGTATTGTCACTTAGCTGCCATGGGATAATCTCCAAAGCCTTAGCATACCCCCCACTCTAGCTGCTGTGTTCCTGGAATAGTCCTTGCTAATCCCATAGGTACTTGGAGAGCTTTATCTCAATAGCCCCACCACCAGCCACCACCAAATCATTTTCAATGGCCCTCCTGACAATCATGATGGAATTAGGCATGAACTGTTCTGTCTCCTCCATAAGTTGTGGCATCACTGTGGAGGATAAAGGTGCATGTGTTGTCCTTGGGAGGCCAGTAAAGAAATTGTGCCTCTCACTTCCAGTCAGGGTCTCCTCAAACACCTGGCAGCTGCCCAGCATGTCATGTCTGCTGACAGAGCATTCACAATGGTCTGGATTAACCCTCTGTAGACCATCATTGTCCTACTCAGATCCTTCTCAGGTACTCAGCCAGCACCGAACCTGCCCCTGTCAGCAAAGTACTGAGTGACCACATCCCCATTGGAGAGTTTGGACAAGACAACTTTGGCTCCAGAATGATGGATCCTTGCTAACTTGTCATAGAGAATGTTCCACTCAGCATCAACAATTGCCTGGTAATTCCCCATTGTGAGGACTCTGATCTCAGCCTTATCTTTCCTAACTTTCAACTCAAGCTCAAAATTTAAAAGTGCAATCTTGGGATTATAGCACTTTTGGGGTTGCATTTCCAACACCAGCATAAAAGAAATTCTTGAATGAAACACCAGGTAACAGATGGGAATCCTCTAGGGCTCCACCCTGTATCTTCTTGATTCCAATCATTTTAAGCTGCAGCAAACCATCAAGCATCATCACTGCATCAACCACCATCTTTGCAAAGAAGGCTTTCTGCTGGGAGATGAGCTTGGAGCTCAGAGCAGGATGGCACACTTCTCCAAGCAGCTTCTTCTGCTCCACTTTTTCTGTCTTCTTCATGGTCACAGTGATCTCTTTGTTATCATTAACTGCCAATTGGATGGCTGTGCGTAAAGCTTGAATGATGATCTTCAGGTGCAAACCTTCCTCCACATAAGGTTTCACCTGCTTCAGAAACTCTGCAGCCAGTAAGGTCACTGAGGTGGTGCTATCACCCACCTTGGCATCTTGGTATTTGGCAATGTCCATTGAAGTCTTTGCTGCAGGATGGACAAATTGAAGAAGCTTCAAGAAGATTGTTGCTTGCCTCTGCCATCCATAATAAGCATGTCTGTGCCATGAGAACCCAGGGTGGTTCTTCTACCCTCAGCAATCACCTGTTAGGCACTGATGTTACTCACAAGCTGGGGGATGCCTTGAGGACTATCAGTTCCCTCTTCCAACAGGATAACTGGTGTGGACATCATTTAAGAAGCTTATTTAGTGGCCAGCTGCTTGTCCTCTCTTCTCTGTGTCCTGGCTACCCAACAATCCACAGTGCCCTGCACCCACATGCACTTTTTGTTACAGCGCTTATCAAATAAAGTTTTCACTGCAGTTTTGAGTATGTGTCTGTGTTAGGTGCAGTCCACATGGCTTTTATCTTGTAAGCAATTGGATTAACTACTGGATTTTGCTATCATGTGAATATTTGAGATTATACCAGAAGTTGCCAACTGCTATGACTCAATTTTGAGGTATTTGGAATGCAAATTCTCTCAAGGACTCTTCCGGTCTCCAAATCTACAGCCTACCTTCATGATTCTGCCAAAATAATCTAAATGTAACCCTCTAGTGTTTTACTGGGGATTAGTAGTTCTAATGTTGAAAGAGCAGACCGATAGCTCCCAAGGACAAACCTACAGATATTCTGAAGGAGAAATTACCTGGGTGCTCTTGATTCTTTTAAGAGAATATTTACATCATACGCTCTTTTAGTGTCCACTGTGCTGAACTGTTCCAATCTAAATCCTTTTGTTTTTTCCCTCTAGGTTGCTGTTTTCAAACAAAACACTAACAAGGGCCTGATGATGTATTCTTCATGTCATTATCTCTAACAGTAAGGTCCTTTTTGACATTCTTTCTTCACCAAGCTTCTCTGGTTTTCCAATTCTCTTCCTTTTTCTCTGGCTACTCCTGATTCCTTCTCTGCATATCCTTTTTCTTCTTTCCCGTAATACTGGATTTTCTCTCAAAGATTTTTCTAGGCCAATTTCTTTCGTCATTTCTGCAATGACTTTGAGGGCACACAGGTAACTCCCAAATCTGTACGTCTCTCAATATGAATATTTCACCCTGATCTACTGGGCACATTCCACTGGAAGCCACAACAATCAATAATCAATAATTGAACATTATTTCTCATAAGTCTTTTCTTCTTGTTCTTTATATTTCTCCAAACTACATATGTCAATAGGCCTCAAAACCATATTTACCTCTGAATCACATTTGATCAGTTTTTTTTTTGTTTTTTTAATTATTATTATACTTTAAGTTTTAGGGTACATGTGCACAATGTGCAGGTTAGTTACATATGTATACGTGTGCCATGCTGGTGTGCTGCACCCATTAACTCGTCATTTAGCATTAGGTATATCTCCTAATGCTATCCCTCCCCCCTCCCCCCACCCCACAACAGTCCCCAGAGTGTGATGTTCCCCTTCCTGTGTCCATGTGTTCTCATTGTTCAATTCCCATCTATGAGTGAGAACATGCGGTGTTTGGTTTTTTGTCCTTGCGATAGTTTACTAAGAATGATGATTTCCAATTTCATCCATGTCCCTACAAAGGACATGAACTCATCATTTTTTATGGCTGCATAGTATTCCATGGTGTATATGTGCCACATTTTCTTAATCCAGTCCATCATTGTTGGACATTTGGCTTGGTTCCAAGTCTTTGCTATTGCGAATAGTGCTGCAATAAACATACATGTGCATGTGTCTTTATAGCAGCATGATTTATAGTCCTTTGGGTATATACCCAGTAATGGGATGGCTGGGTCAAATGGTATTTCTAGTTCTAGATCCTTGAGGAATCGCCACACTGACTTCCACAATGGTTGAACTAGTTTACAGTCCCACCAACAGTGGAAAAGTGTTCCTATTTCTCCACATCCTCTCCAGCACCTGTTGTTTCCTGACTTTTTAATGATCGCCATTCTAACTGGTGTGAGATGGTATCTCATTGTGGTTTTGATTTGCATTTCTCTGATGGCCAGTGATGATGAGCATTTTTTCATGTGTCTTTTGGCTGCATAAATGTCTTCTTTTGAGAAGTGTCTGTTCATATCCTTCACCCACTTTTTGATGGGGTTTTTTGTTTTCTTCTTGTAAATTTGTTGGAGTTCATTGTAGATTCTGGATATTAGCCCTTTGTCAGATGAGTAGGTTGTGAAAATTTTCTCCCATTTTGTAGGTTGCCTGTTCACTCTGATGGTAGTTTCTTTTGCTGTGAAGAAGCTCTTGAGTTTAATTAGATCCCATTTGTCAATTTTGTCTTTTGTTGCCATTGCTTTTGGTGTTTTAGACATGAAGTCCTTGCCCATGCCTATGTCCTGAATGGTAATGCCTAGGTTTTCTTCTAGGGTTTTTATGGTTTTAGGTCTAACGTTTAAGTCTTTAATCCATCTTGAATTGATTTTTGTATAAGGTGTAAGGAAGGGATCCAGTTTCAGCTTTCTACATATGGCTAGCCAGTTTTCCCAGCACCATTTATTAAATAGGGAATCCTTTCCCCATTGCTTGTTTTTCTCAGGTTTGTCAAAGATCAGATAGTTGTAGATATGCGGCGTTATTTCTGAGAGCTCTGTTCTGTTCCGTTGATCTATATCTCTGCTTTGGTACCAGTACCATGCTGTTTTGGTTACTGTAGCCTTGTAGTATAGTTTGAAGTCAGGTAGCCTGATGCCTCTAGCTTTGTTCTTTTGGCTTAGGATTGACTTGGCAATGTGGGCTCTTTTTTGGTTCCATATGAACTTTAAAGTAGTTTTTTCCAATTCTGTGAAGAAAGTCATTGGTAGCTTGATGAGGATGGCATAATTCAACAACCCTTCATGCTAAAATCTCTCAATAAATTAGGTATTGATGGGACATATCTCAAAATAATAAGAGCTATCTATGACAAACCCACAGCCAATATCGTACTGAATGGGCAAAAATTGGAAGCATTCCCTTTGAAAACTGGCACAAGACAGGGATGCCCTCTCTCACCACTCCTATTCAACATAGTGTTGGAAGTTCTGGCCAGGGCAATCAGGCAGGAGAAGGAAATAAAGGGTATTCAATTAGGAAAAGAGGAAGTGAAATTGTCCCTGTTTGCAGACGACATGATTGTATATCTAGAAAACCCCATTGTCTCAGCCCAAAATCTCCTTAAGCTGCTAAGCAACTTCGGCAAAGTCTCAGGATACAAAATCAATGTACAAAAATCACAAGCATTCTTATACACCAGTAACAGACAGAGAGCTAAATCATGAGTGAACTCCCATTCACGATTGCTTCAAAGAGAATAAAATACTTAGGAATCCAACTTACAAGGGACGTGAAGGACCTCTTCAAGGAGAACTACAAACCACTGCTCAATGAAATAATAAAAGAGGATACAAGCAAATGGAAGAACATTCCATGCTCATGGGTAGGAAGAATCAATATCGTGAAAATGGCCATACTGCCCAAGGTAATTTATAGATTCAATGACATTTAATCAGTTTTTACACCTCCAAGTATTTTTAAAAGTATCCTTCCCACCCCCCCATTTCTACTACTAAGGTCATATTACAAGCAGTGTGATGCTAAATGTTTAACTGTCAGCGTTTCTGCATATGTATATAAAAACATATATACGATCATTATTGTTTAATTATCCAGATCAAGATTTCTGAATGGTTGGGCTCAGTGGCTCATGTCTGTAATCCCAGCACTTTGGGAGGCCGAGGCGGGTGGATCACCTGAGGTCAGGAGTTCAAGACCAGCATGACCAACATGGTAAAACCCTGGCTCAACAAAATCAGCCGGACGTAGTGGTGCATGCCTGTAATCCCAGCTACTCGGGAGGCTGAGGCAAGATAATCATCTGAACCCCGGAGGCAGAGGTTGCAGTGAGCCAAGGTGGTGCCATTGCACTCCAGACTGGGCAACAAGAGCAAAACTCTGTCTCAAAAACATGACAGCTATAATATTGTTTTATTGGTGTAAAGGATGTGTAGCTCACAATTTAAAAATTATGATAAAATACACAATCCTGTTTAATGTAAATTTTATAAATCCAATTTATTCTCATACAATGTTTTTATTAATTTTTGCCAAGTCCTTGTACCTATAGCAACCAACCTATGGTTGCAATTGATGAATAAATGCAGTCGTAACATAAATGTTGTGCAAATGTGAAGATATGTGTTAAAATTTTGTTCGTTATCAACATCTTGATAATAATTTTTGACATTATAATAGAAGACTTCCATAAATTTTTGTGCTACTCAGAAAGGAATGGCTATAAACATGACACAGTTTTAAATTTAATCATATTTTTATAGTTGTCTTCTTTTTTCCTTAAATCTAGACAATCAACAAAACAATAACTCAAATCGTAGTTGTAGCAGTTGCCAGTTGCTATAGTGTAAATACTCTCATCATGACCAGTTTCAAGCTACCCTCATAATGTTACGAAACACTGAATTGGGAAGAAATGTACACGAGTACCCCATTTTATATTATTTCCACCATACAGGTACATGTTATCTTGAGCACATAGATAACAGTAAAATATAGGAAAATAATTATAAAGTGAGTAGTTCAGGGGTACTTATTACCTTTATTTTTTATATAAATTATTCAATTATAAATTTACGTAATTTAGCTTTTAATAATGATTATATGTAAAAGCTGGTTCACAATGCTTCCAAAACTTAGCAATTGGCTCTCACAAACCAGTACAAACTGGTTCCAGGACAGCCCTGCTTATCGTTCACCTAGCTTGTCCAATAATTTTCTAACTAGGTTCCTTTTTTTCTTCTGTGCAAACCATCTCACATATAGTTCTATGTGTTGACACATGATTCCTATTAAAAAACTCAGAATATTTATCATTATTAAGAAAATAATGTCTAAATTTTAGGATAACTGTCATTCAGGAATCTTGATCTAGATCTTTCAAATATTTCTCACCCTCTTTCCTCCTAACTGGAAATACTTTGTCCCTTTGCTTCTTCAAATATAACACTTTACCTGTGCCTCAGGACTTGAATCAATCTTGAATTACCTTGTATTCAAGACATATTTATTTCATGTCTCTGATGTGTAAGGGAATACTTTTAGTACTGGGAATGTGGAAGGCATGACAGACTTTGTGTTCTCATAAAAGTCACAGTTTA
Source organism: Homo sapiens (assembly GCF_000001405.40). NCBI lineage: Eukaryota > Metazoa > Chordata > Mammalia > Primates > Hominidae > Homo > Homo sapiens. The sequence continues at coordinate 92,895,784 of NC_000005.10, forward strand.
GAGAGGAAGATAACAAATTCATGACTCTAGTGGAGTTAAGTATGGTACATATTGACTGCTATAGTAGAGGAAGGTAACTTATGGTAAGAGATACAAGCAAAGAAGAAGAAAAAATATATGTATAGGCTAAGCACATTTCATCTGCCTCATGTCCTAAAGGAGGATAATGTATTTGATGCATAGATAAAACAGGAGTAAAGGGTACATGGAGGGAAGAGGCAAGAAATAAACTGTGGAAGGTAGGCAGAAACCTTCTCTGACAGGAAGTTTGAACTTTATTCTGTAGGAAATTGAGGGTTTTCAAAGGATTTTAAGGAACTATCACTTTGACAGAAGTATGAAGGATGAGTTGAAAGGATGAAAGACTGGGGATGGTGAGACTAGGCAGAGGTCTTTTGAAGTAATTTTGGAGATAAATGCTAAAGCATTGAACTCAGATAGTAATAGAGAATTTGGAATTTAGTTCTTCAAGATTACTTAGTAACTGGATGTTTCAGTGAGGGGAAAGAGTCTCAAATGACTTTCAGGTTTATGTCTTGATTCAATGGATGGGCAATACATATGCTTTCTGTCTAAAATAGGTAGAATAACCATATAACTGATCATCCAAACCAAGACAGATTTGACAGCCAAATAGAATGCTAAAAATAATGAAAAGTCTAGAATTTTAAAATTATTTCACATTGATGAATTAATTGTTTTTATTTTATTGGTGGAACCATAAAATAGTCCTCTTCAAAAAGGAACTTCAAAAATAAAATTATTTCTAAAAATTACCACTTACATTTTGATTTATAGAATATATAAGCCTATTTATACATAACTGTGAATGTATCCATGATCAATTCAAAATATATTTCTGCCCTATAACTTTCTTAGTTTGTTCAGAACATGGTTTTTACTATGATGCTGCACTACTCCAAGTTTTGTTGACTTATGATCACTGCAAAACAAATAATTTTATCTTTACTGTTTGTAAAATATTGTTGTTCTTTGTAAAATATTAACAATTGCATTTCCAATAATGTCATGTGTTTCATCTATGACAAAAGTACTTCCAAAAGCTTCACTTAGATTCCATGAATTGAATGAAAAAACAATCAAACCACTTTTGGAATGAATTTTCTATTTGAAGTATCTGATGACATGACATAAAATTGACATTATTTAATTGTTTGTACAATTTTGCTTCTACTAATGGGTCAAAGATAATAGCTATCACTTTATTTTATAAGCAAAAGGAATGTTGGGATCAAAATAAGTTAAATTAATTGGGATGAGCAGTCATCTAATCTAAATGAAATGTCACTTTTCAAAGAGTGATACAAAAACACACTCGACTGCATGGGCTAATGTTAAGGAGTTTTCTTTGGACACAATCTCTGAAAGAGATGTATTAACTTTTGTAGTACACAATGATGCTGCCTTAGCAAATTTGTCATCTTCTATTTACATATGTTCAATTATGTCTCCTGATGATGGTTGATGGCAAATGTCAACATTTTGTGCAAGTTATATATTCAACATCAAAATAGCTTAAGATATGGAAAACCAGTACTTATTTGTTCAATAAACATGTACTGTTATTTTTTCATTTTAATTCTTGCTTAAAAGAGAATATATTGCAACATTTAAAGACATTACCAAAAGTAAAACTATTGAATATTTAGATTTGCACTGTACATAAATGCCAAACTCATTCTAGAAACAGTGTTTAAATTACTTTTCATGTCCTCCATGTCTGGGCTACTCAGCCTTTATTACCTGCCTATGTTTCATGTATACCCAGCTTATAATTTCCATGTTTCCCATTGATTCCACTGACTGATGTCTTTTTACATCTCATCAACCGCTCTATGGGCCCTAGCACAACTGATAAATATAGCAAGTGTCATCAAGGGCATTAGGGTAGAATAGCTGCTCCCATTACCACTTGATACCACATGGAGTTATCTGCCCTGGGAAGAAAGAGGAATTTAGCCATACTGTGTCTGGAAAAAGTTTAGTAAAGAGAAATGGTTAATCACTAGCCATTTCTTATTTTTACCACATATTAGAGTGAGAACTCTGTTCACTGTACATACATCTTACGCATTAGTGGTCAAGCCTATGGCAGAAGCTTGGAGAAAAAAGTGAAGTTCTGCTAAGCCCAGCCAAGACTACTTTAATTAAACTGCTAATAATACTTCATTATAAATAAAACATTGGAAACAAATATGAAACCAGACAGAATGCTGGGCCAACATAAAATCAATTGGAACTATTTCAGGAAGACTAGGATATACAGTCACCTTACTACTAAGTTTTACTCCAATGGCCAAATTAATTTATTTGGACTCCCAATTATACATTGTTGTCAGGTTATGTATGAACACACACTTTATTAATGTGTGTATTACTGCCAGTCTTCAGATTCTAGTTTTCTGTTCCAATTTTCAAGATGCCCTTTTTGGACTCTCATATTTTTGCCTCTAATGAGGATGATTTCCCAATATTTGCTATGGTCTTTGCTATGAGTTAAAAAAAATTATTTTTACATGCTAAAGAGAGAGAATACTGAAAGAGGCACACATTTTGGAGGGAAGATTATTTCAGTTTTGAACATATGGAATTTGCGATATCTTAGAGTCATGCATAGGAGTCATGCATTGTTAAGAAGTATAATATTGGACCTGGAGCTCAGGAAAGAAGTTTATGCTGAAAATATAGATTTAACAATTATCAGTTTATAAGAGGTTATTAAAAACATGGTGTGAGCAGCATATTTGCAAGGAGAATGAATACAGTGAGATGTTTCAAATGTAGAACACTGAGAAACAATATAATTTATGTATGTATCCAAAGGCTCTGCTTACTGCAGTGTCCACTTTTAGTTTGGAATAAATACTAAGTTATTTGCCAAGTCTGCAATAAACACCACCCTCAGAACTGCTTCCTTCTCTCTAAGGTAAGCCTCCAGCAGCCCTATTTTTTCCACTTCTTCTCACACCTGGCCACTACTGGTAAGCCAACTCTTATGACTGGGCATCCTCTTTGAGCCTATTAGAATGACATGCAGTTAAGGATAGGTGGATTGCAATATCCAAGCTCCAGGCATGGTAGAGCAGTCATATTCTCTGTCAAGTGAGTAGAGAGATTGCAAATGCAAAGGTAAAGAGATGAAACCTGGAAATTGGCCACTTTCTGGGTTTCCTGCTGCAGACTTTTCTGTTCCTGGGTCAGCCCTGAATTTATTCTTCAACTCTAAACAAAGTGCCAAGGCACTAGGTTGTTTTTCATGGCTACAATAATAAAAGGAAAAGTTCCATGGACTATTGGAATATCCTTTCCTCAGCTTTTGTATACTTTCTTTCTCAGGTTTCCATTTATCCTTATAATGAATCGCCCTTAAATCAATGTTAGCTTCAGCTAGTTTCTCTTGATACAACCAGGAAAACTTAGCCTTTATATGGCCAATATTTGTATCTTCCATAGATCAAAGCATAGTATATTTTACATCATCAAGTTCATCGATGTTCAATAAATGTTTGTGTAATTAGTAAGCAAAGTAATTAATAAATTAATGGCTACTTTTCAATAACCCTTCAATGCCCACAATAACTGTAGTATTAGCTGAAGTTCCAGGAATGAGGCTGTTATGACAAAAATATTGCTTCCCTCGAAAGTTCTATCAGGAGTCTAGCCTACTTCTAATCAGAGCCTTCTAGCTTGTTTACTCATGAAGAATAAAATCTTGAAAAGATTCTGAGAAAAGCAGGTTTAAATCAAACTTTTTTGCATGCTCCAATACTTTGCATTTCAAGTAAGTGGTTCTGCTTGGTTTCCTATAGGGAGACCATATTCAGTTTCTTGTTGCATTCATTTATTGCTAGCTGTGTTAAGGATAGTTTTGTACCACTTATTTTTATTCCACTTACTGAAGAGTCATATCAGCTGAAAACATGTTATACTGGGAACAGTCAAAACATAGGTAATAATGATGCTTATCTAGTCATCCCTTTACTGTTGCAAAACACTCTCTTCAACCCAAAGTCCTAAAGCAAACAATGACATGAGCAGAAAACTACATAGAAGAAACCACCAAGTACAGCTCTTACTATTATGCTTAGTGGGGAACAATGAAAATTTCCATGAGCTTTCGTGAGATCAAATTGCCCGGATTAGAATTCTGGTGCTGTCGGGTTCTCTCTGTGACCCTCAAATGTTAGTAAATTTTCTACCCGTCAGTTTCCTCAAACTTGTTTCCTCGAGTTGCTATAAGGATTAAATAATGTAATCCAAGTAGCTTGTTTAGCTCAAGACTTTGTTCAAAAATTGTTAGATACTATGATTTTTATTTTATAAAAATGGTTTACCCTAAGCTGCCAACTAAAGATAATAGCAGATAATGGGTAACTATTCAAAGAATAGCCACAAGATCTTTAGTCACGGTACCACAGTTGAGGTTCCATGCTTTGATTTATGACTTACCCACAGACTCCACACGATGTGAATAGCTGCTTTACATCTATGCGTTCATGTTTCAGAATGTAAATCAAAGATATCCATTGCCTCCTGGCTGTGGAATCTCGGAATCTGTAGTGTAATATTCTGTTCTTCAAACATGATAGCATCACTGACTAATCATCCCTAGATTATATTCTTTGAATCCTATGTCCTTAGAGAGATTGTGTGGCCCTTCCACACTCAGTCTGGTAATGACAAGGTGGGCAAATCTGTGAAGTTTTCAGTGTTCAACTTTCCATTTAAATTCCTCTTTCCCCATCTCAGTGGTTAGTCTACCCGTATATGCAGAAGCTTTGATTTTCTAAGATTCTTTCTATTATCTACCCCCCACCCACTCATCGAAACAGGAAGGGCTCTAATGTCTGCCAGTTATAGGTGTTAACTGGTTGATTGACTAATGACCCTTGATTGTGAATGAGCTTCTGTAAGTGTCTAACCATGGTCAGGTCCAGTTATATTAATCCTTTTGTCTCTAATTATGGAATAAAATAGTGCATCTCCATTAAAGGAATTTTGGGCATCTCCAAGTAAATTGGCCTTCCTTTTGAGAGTAAGGCCAACTCTGAAGGTAAGTCTGCTGGACTTCTTTTAGGATAATTGTATATATGCTCAGAAGGGACAAAAGTCCTCTTTTTGAATTGGCCTTTTAATGACTTAGGGAGAATAGGTTCAGAAGGCACTGAGACCCTGTTAAATCCAGGTCATCAGAAGAAAGAAGTGGAGACATAATCTTTAGAATGAGGGTCCCAGGCAAAACTTGGTCTCTGAGGAGAACAGAGCAGAACGAAAGTGCTGTTTTGAGAACCAAGACTAGGATTCTAATTCAGGGAAACAAGAAAACTTGTACTGCCTGGGTGCGGTGGCTTACACCTGTTATCCTAGCACTTTGTGGGGCCAAGGCGGGCAGATCACTTGAGGTCAGGAGTTTGAAACCAGCCTGGCCAACATGGTGAAACCCTGTCTCTAATAAAAAAAAAATACAAAAAATTAGCTGGGCATGGTGGCGGGCACCTGTAATCCCAGCTACTTGGGAGGCTGAGGCAGGAGAATCACTTGAACCAGGAGGTGGAGGTTGCAGTGATCCAAGATCACACCACTGCACTCCAGCCTGGACAACAGAGTGAGACTCCATCTCAAAAAAATAAAAAAACAAAATAAAATGAATAAAACTTATACCGAAGCAAGAAGGGCCTGTGCCCTGAATCCTGTGCTTCAGAGAACACCTCCGGGCCTTCCTCCAGCCATGCAGCTTCCCATAGAGTAAGGGGTACCTTCTGCTAAGACAAGTCATCTGGGGCCTGTGTCTAGCCTTCCAGACCATGCTAAGAAGACATGTCCATTTAGAACCTGCAGTCATCCTTCTAGACTCTGCTCAAATGACCTGGAGCCCCCTTCTGGGGTCTGAATAGCAATGTCTTGGTTTATCCTGAGGAAACTGACAGCACCACCTGTCTGGGCACCGCTAGTCCTGAGGTGCAGCTGTGAGGTGGCTGTTGGAGAAAGGCGAAAGATGAACAGAGTTTGAATTTGGATATGTGACTATAATATCCATCCATGGACACACAAGACCCTTCGAGGTGCAGAATGATGCTAGGAGTGGGAAGAGAAGCAGGGATGGCCAGGGGAATTCCATCTGTGCTCTTGGCCTGGTGCTCCTCAAACTTCCCTGACCAAAGAGAAATTTGACCCCCAAGCCTGAGGTGTGCTTGAACTTCCACGTAGGGATTAAGCGGCTATAGTTCATAAGGTTAGTGTACTCCAAAAATCAAGAATCAATAAATCCTTCATTTCATACCTAAAGGATAAATCTTGTACTCTCCTTCTTTTTAAATCACAGCCCCTTTTTCAAAAGAATGAAAAGAATTCTCAAATTTATGAGGTTTTACTTGTTTAATTTGTGCTTAATGTTTTTGGAAAATTCCAATTTGGAAATTGCAAACTCAAATACCTTGGGGGCCAGGGTAAGGGTCCAGCTCTGGCTTCAGGGTATAGGGCTCACTCAATAGCATTTACATTAAAGAAAAGTAAACTTAAGTGCACAGGAAGAATTCAGGTCCACTAGTTTGTCATCTTTGAATAAAACTTCTCTTTCCTTTCCTGAAATCCCAGACTATATCCTATGCTTTATTTAATATTTCTGGAAATGAAGTTTCTGCCCCAAAAAAGTATTGTTAGAATATATATTTCATTAACTACCTTTACGTATTATTTGTGTCCTATGTTTACTGCTGTTTCTCATTACTAAATGTACTAGAAGAAGAATATATGTTTAATAAGAATGTTGTTTATAATTGTATTCCTATGTGTGAGATACTGTGCTATATATGTCCAAGATCTGCTGGTTAAAACACACACACATACTGCTTTGGTATAAATATGTTTTGGATTGTTTTGTTTTTTAAAAGTATATTGACATCTTAAAATCACACAAGAGATGTTTAATACACAAGATTGCTCACTTAGCAAGTTGATTCTTAGAGGAAATATAAACAGTAAAATTATTAAATAATGAAAACAAAGTTTAAACAACAAAACCAGAATGGATACAATAAAATGAGTATTGCCAATTTCAAGTTAGTCACTATAAGAGGGCAGACCCTTATTCCACTGTTCCGAATATTTTTGGAAGTCCTCTTTCAGGAATTCTTAGGTATCTTTGGTATAGACCCTTTGAAATATTCTTAGTGATGGTGCATCTTCATCAATTGAGGTCAGATTTTATTTTTAGAAAGAGCAGAAAGCCAATCAAAGCCAAGTCTGCTGAATGAGATAAGTGATCAAGCTGAGTCTTTTCACTTCTGATCAAAATCAAAGCACAGTTATAAATCCCAAAGTGATGTGTTTATGTGGCTTTATAAGTTTCTACTGGCATTAAAGACAATTTTAGAGAAAACTTACAAATATGTTCTGAGTATCATTAAAATATGTTATTAACTACCTAAGATAATGACTTTGAAGAAAAAATTCATTTGGATGTATAGCTTTTAATGTACTTTTTTTTAAAAGGAGAAAAAACTAGGGTTTTTTTCAAACACTATACATCAAAATGAAATCTAGGTGAACTAAAAATGTATTTTTATAATTAAACCATAAAAATCTAGAATAAATTATAGCTGACTTATCATAACAAGAAAGTGAGAAACTTTAAGGAGCATATTAAAATAATTGGTTAAAAAATAATGTATCAAAAAATGCATTTAGAAAATTAAAAGACAACATATGGAAAAATGAGGTTTAGTAAATTTACACATTTTTAAAATAAGATATTTTTCACATTAGAAAAAAGCCTTAAATTTTTATACTCACTGGAAAAAAATACAAGTGCTCTCTTAGGCTATAGGATTATAAACTGGCACAACCTTCCTCTAAGGCAAGTTGGCATATGTAAGAAATGCCTGAAAAATGTGCCTTTGACCAGTCAGTTAATTTATAAAAATATATTTAAAGAAAGTATTATGAATGTGCACAAAAATTTTTATTCAGTTGAGTTCTGTGTACTAGTGAAAGAAAGAAAAATAATCTATGCCCAACTATTAGAGGGTTAAATTAATAAATTTTGATATTTCCATATAATAGAATAAACAATGAAAGAACAAATGTTGATAATACCCATGTTGTCAAACAATAACACAACTACAGCTATTTTACTTCTTTCAACAAACATTGAATCTATTTTCAAGTAATCTTAATTCAATTATTTAATGAAAAATAGACCATTGACATCTGGGGCTGTGTGTGTGTGTGTGTGTGTGTGCATCACTGATTTGTACTTTTGAAACACTCCTATGCTGGCTATGTTGTAATTTCTTTTCATTTCTCCTGGATAAAGAATTATCTCTATTTGTAGAAGTTTTCTCACTAACAATACCATGCACTTTAGTCTACATTAGAATGAAGCTGCACAGGACTCTGCTTCTTCTTCTGCCTGTACAGAGCTGTCTTCTTCAATGAGCACATTGTACTGCTTTTCCTTCTCTTCCGGAGAGAGGAGGTTTCAGAGAAAGTGATATAAAGTTTGTGATTATCGCTTCAGAATTGAAACTGTTTTTACTGGCCCTTTAAATCATAGAGAACAATACTGCCCAAGCCACTGATATCCTATCTATATCGGGTGGCCACTTAAATGTTATTTTTCTGCAGATCTTTGCACCTTTTCACATGTGTTTTCTTTAAGTTAAAACAAAAATAAATATGTTTTTGATTATTCATTTATTTCGGTCTGTTAAAACTTGAGCTCCTTCAACTTATTTCGTGTTGGTTTAATTGCTTATAGAGGTTAAAATACTTTCAATGAAATAACCAATCTTGTACTCATTCTACTACGTAACAGAGGGTATTTTCTTAGGATTTGTAAGGAAAATTCCCGAGTACCTTTTAGAAATTTTAGTATGTCTCAATTAAAATAAAATATTATTTTTTTGAAAAAAAGCTAAAATGTGTCAATTAGAAAAATGAGACTTATTGAAATTTCTGTAAAATAAATCACACATTTATATGACTTTCAGAAATATTGATAAAAGAATTTTAATAATCATATTTATATTGTGGACTCAGGACAAGGTAAAAATATGTGCCCTTTTATTTACTTACTATCTAAAAATTAAAGGATTTATTCTGAATTTTGTTAATATGAATCAAGTTCTATGTAAGCTATGGATATAATACAGTTATATTTCTTACTTTGGTGAAAAGTGATTTCACAGGAGTAGTGTAGAACCCCTGTTAAAATCATGAGTCACACATAGTCCGTTTGAGTCGTGGTCTTGCCACACTACCTATGTTACCTGGGAAGCTGCTCTATTTCCTCCTAGGTATAAAAGGCATGACAATTCGTATTTTGAAAGTTCATTAAAAGGCAACTGAAATAATATATAAAGAACTTTAGAGAGTTATTTGCTCATAATAAGCACTAAATAAGTGGTTGCTATCATTGTTACTGTTAATAATATCAGTTTTAAAGTTTACTAAATATCATTGTCTTCTTCTGAATTGCTCCATCACTAGGGCAAGTTGCCTCTCCAAGATCCATTTCAATTTTGACTTGTTCCTATACTTCCTTGATTTTTCTGGCTCTTATTGATCTCTCTAATTGCTTCATTAGTGATTCTTACCCCTTTCCCCCAAGTGAATTGTAAATTCATAGAGATCAGGGATCATGCCTTCTATTACTTCTATTATTTCTGAATTCCTTAAAATATATTTATTATCTCATTGTTATGGTTGTTTATTGCTATATAATATACAATCCCAAAACTTAGTAACTTAAATGACAGCCATCTTATTAAGTCTCGTAATTTCTGTGGGTCAAAAATTTGGACGGAACATTGCTGAGTGATTCTTCTATTCCAGGTCACTGACAAGTGACAGAGTTACTTGGTGGCATTCACCCAGCAGATGGACATGGAAAGTCAAACTTTACTCACATGTTCGGTGCCTTGGCAGCACTAGTGGGAATATTGGGCATGGGTGGGAGTGTCAGTAAGAGTGCCATTGCCTACATATGGAGTATGTGTCTTGCCCCTCCAGGATGGTGACATCATGGTAGTTGGGCTTCTTACCAGCTCAAGTTCCCAAGTGCATGACCTTATATTACTCAGCCTCAGAAGGAAAGTAATTGTAGGCCCACTCAGGTGCATGGGAGGGGACATAGAGCCCATCTTTTGATGGGTGGAGTGTCAAATAATTGTAGCCATGGCTTAAAACTGCCACAATCCTCTATGACACAAAGAATCCCTTGAGAGTGGACACTATATGCTGGTCACAGTTATATCATCAACTACGTCTTATAGATCAGAAGATACTCAATAAATAATTTTTAAAAGAGCCAATAAGGCATTAGCTTTGAAAAAAATTATTAAAAACTTAGCCTTTTTTCATAGTCTCTGTAGTTAAGAAAAATTAAACTAATGATTTTGAAGTTTTTTTTTATACAGAATCTAGTCTTTACTAACCTTTTCTACCATGAAACCATGACTATATTGAAAATTTTCTCATTTCTGTTTCCTTGAACTCCTAGCCTCGAGCAATCCTCCTGCATCAGCCTCCCAAAAGTCCTGGGATTACAAGCATGAACCACTGCACCTGGCTGCATTAGTGTTTCCTAAGCTTTATTAGTTTCTGACTCAATCTCTTTTCCTTTTGTCATCTCCTGTGTGTGTGTGTGTGTGTGTGTGTGTGTGATTTGAAGTCAGAAGATATGATGTTTTCTGCCAATAATTCTGTGTAAGCCACTTCTTCAGTCACATTTGCTCTTTTGTAACAATAATGTGGCTAAGTTAGATGATATTTAAGGCTTCATACAGCTCTACAACTCTGCAACTATAGGTTTATTATTCTTATAATAATATGAGAGAGAGGCATAGCATGGTACTAAGAGTACTGGTATTGTAGTCAATAGGGCATGGATGTTTGTTCCAGACCTGCCACCTGCTAGTGGTATAACTTTTAGAGATAATAATTTCTCTATTAAGTTTTCAGGGTTGTGGTAAATCTAATGACATAATGAATATGATAACCTGTAAAGAGTCGCATGTAATGGCCGAGAAACATTTCTCTATCCTCTTACGAGGCCAGGGAAGAAGAAAGTTATAAAGGGTTTTAAAGAGGACGTGTCATTACACTAAATACAATTTTGGAGCACTTCTATGAACAGGCATCTATGCTGGAACATCTCCGGCTCCAAAACCTGCAACTAAGCACGGCCTATGCAAATATTATCCTTTTTCCTTATTTGGAGGCTGCATTTCTAATCATTGAAAACATGCACATTGTCAGGGAAAGACACTGATAATTCAGCCACTGAGCCAGTATAGAGAAGTTATTCATTCCTGGGTTCAACCCAAGGTCAAAAACATCAAACCCCAACCATTAAGCAAAATGGTGACAGGCATGGTAGAGATGACCTGGAGTAAATATATTGCACAGAGGAAGCAAGGTCAGGAATACAACAGGCCTGAAAAAATGTTGCAGAGACAAAGTCAGGAACAACTAGTTTAGAGTTCAGAGGTGTACATGAACAGAATCTTCCAGATGGAATAAAAGAGACCAGCAAAGGAGGAACCAGCCACCAACAAACTGGAGATGCAATGGAAATCCTCTGTGTCTAACTGCATTTATAAGCTGCATATCCTTCCAAACTCCATCTTCTCCACAGTCCAGACCTCCTTACCTTGGACAAATCTGGTGAAGACATAGAAAGCAATGTATTCTTACTTTCTTGCTGAAGAAGACAGTTTGTTTTGGCCTTCCGTGCTCAGAGTAAAGATAGGGCTCACTTCTTAAAATCTGTCTCTTCAGTCAGCTTGAGCCCAACACTGTTTTGGATGTATTATATTTTAACGTTCCCATTCAAAGGATGTTGAATCCAGTAGGTTTAAGAACACTCACTTTTTTTATTAGTGCGTACTTTTGTTCTCAGCAATGAGAATTTCTTCCTAATATTGTTTCAGTTCATCTAGGCTTAACAGAAAACATCACCTGTACCAGGGCAATATAAAAAATATACCTCTGTGTCTTGGGCCTAGGTGTGAATGGCACTATAATGGTTTGGTTGTGGGGCTATAATGTGTGATAATTTATGAAAATATAGAAAGGAATGGCCAATTTCTACATCCTGTTGTCCATATGGTGAAAGTCAAGAAAGGGTCAAGCTCTGCCTTGCCTTTGTTTAAAACACCTTTTTGAAGCCCAGTTCTTGGCCTGCCACTATGGAGACCTCTTCTGCAGCTCTGGGTGTCTGGGAAATGCCTGTTTCATTAGGACTCCTGACCCCTATCATTTTACACTTCAGAAGGAGTGACCAGCTCACTTAAAACAAAGAAGCTTTGACCTTTCTCCCCTTCTGAAACCAAAAACAGATGAAATTAAAGTGACTCATTTCCGGTTCTAAATATACTCTAAGAAACATCTTTTTCAAGTAGTTTTGGGCTGCGAGTTTTTAAAAAAAATTTTGCCTTGTTTTTATTTTATATTTCCACATAAGTATCTCATTCCCTTTTTGTCAAGGTCAATGTATTTATTACTTATATTCATGGTGTAACTCACTATACTTTATTTTTCCTTCCAGCTTTCTTACTTTCTTCCTCTTTTTTCTTCTTTTTTTATCTGTGTTGTTTATAACTGTGACCCTTGATCTTCCAAGTCTTAAAACAGCTTGGCTTTCAGCAGCTAAATCTGACAAGGTCAGCATTTTTCTATTTATTCTGAGAATACTGTTTACCCTCTGGGGTTTTTAAAAGCAATTCTGTAAAACATCACTTGGAAAAGTTTGTAGCATTCATTGAGACTTCCATAAAGTCAGAACACAATAAATGACAATTTCTTGCTCTGATTTTTGAAGTTTCAGACAATCATCACTACCTGATCATTTGGTGCCTAAACAGCTGCACTGACCAACATTTTAAAATTAAAATTATTAGATTAAAACAATCAATATTATATAAATATAATTTATTTTACTTCAGTAGAATGCCTTTGACAACTTTAATCAAAACTAAACAAATAACTCTTGAGTTTTGCCTTTCAGAAAATACTTCCATTAGAAATTGCATACACAGACATTATACTATTTATTTTAAGTTTTGAATGAGGATACAGAGGAAGCAGGCCTTTTCCGTAGCCAGGCTGTAGAACAAATCTACTTTTGATCAGAACTTAAGTTGCGAGACAGTTGGGGATCATAACTTATACTTAAGATACAAAATCTGTTTCTGAGCTGGTGAAATTGAGAATGTTAGTAGAGAAAGACTAATGCATTTTCAAAGGTTCAAAGATATTCTACCAGGCCTGGTACAGCTCTACATTCACTAGAGCTACTGTGGACACCTCTGCATCCCTGTGAACAGACCAGTTTACAAACTTTGAGATCAAGCTGAAAATATAACTTCCTAGCTGTGCAGTTTCAGTTCAGAAAGTCTCACCACTGCATCCAGAATTCTCTGCAATAGGCTTGATGGGGAAGCCAAAGTATGTAATATGTTCCAATCTTGTTAAGAAGCTTATTCACTAGACTATAAGGGGAAAAAAAAATTAACTCCAGAAAATGTACTGCATTAACAAACTGAGACTCTCTGGTGGTAGACAGGCTTGGAGAGGGGTGAGAGTATAAGTGTGCCATTGCAAATGTTTTGTAGTGTCTTCGGGAAGAGTGGGGCTCTTGAATCCCTAGCTCAGGAGAATCAAGGAGCAGGTGGTGCCTGGGAGGCTAAACACTGCTAAGTCTGCATTTATTCCTTTAGCTGTATCTGTGCATTAATTCAATAAGATGGTCTAATAAAATAATGCATTTTCAAAATGCTTAGCTGGCATTTGGGGAGGGGGTGGGCATTTTCATTATTTACTAAGGAATGCATTTTGAAGGAATTTGTGACTGAAGACAGCTTGCGCTGTAGGCTGCTCTCGCCTCCAGGGGTCACCCTTCCCTTTAATGACTATACAACAATAGTCTGAGACCCCCACCCTCAGGGACTTTAGTCTTTTAGCAATTTCTCGTGCCCTAGTAACTCTGAGAATTCCAGAGACTGCTTATATGTCTCAGAACCTGTGCTGGTGGTCGCTTTCACCCCTCCCAGCCATCTGTCTCTGTCTACAGTCACACCCTCCGCCGGCACCCTCTGGCTGCCTGAGTCTGACTTCCCTCAAGCCATTTCTGCTCCCTTCATGCCATTTTGTGCTAAGTGTGGACATGAGTCTGTCTCATTATTCCCCACAGCACAGTCAATAGCAGGTTCAAATATCTAACAAAATTTTGCTGAAGGCTTAGGGATAACTGTAAGAAAGAAATAATAAGAAAAAAAAAGAAAGAAAATAAATATAGAATAAAACACTAGATTTATATGACTTCCCCAAGTGTGCACACCTCCAGAAGCTTCCTCCTAAACGTCTCTCTCCTTTATACACACACACACACACACACACACACACACACACCCTTCTTACTTCACATTATACTGGCTAGCCTGCTTCTGTCTCATCTAGAATTAAGACCCTCAAATTCTTTGTGACCTCCACAGGGGGAAACTTTATTTTCTTGAAAGAAAACATGATGTGATCTGCAAAGAATACGATTATTTGTATTATCATATATGGGAGTTTATCTCACCAATATATCAAAATTTCTCATTCAAAATAAAATATTTGCTTTATCTTATTTTGATCAAGATGGGAGGAAAAGCTGTGCAGTTTAAAGGACAGGATGTTCCTTTCTTCCAGTAGTTAATTTTCAAACAAATTTTGGTGACCACCTGGGTACCCTGTTTCACTGGTAAGTTCGTATCTAAAATGAAGCACCCAGTGTGATTTAAGGAGAGGTCCTGGCATCTTGAGATCACTCAGAATCAAAGGCAATATGCGAATATCAAAGCTGCAAGTATAAAGGGATAAGGCAAGAACTGGAGCCTGCAGGCTGATGAGTCCCCTAGTTCTAGCCTTAGCCAGTGTAGACTGAGGATAGCAACACTTTTGGGGGAAAAGCGAGTGACTGTGTACGGAGAGTCATGAGATGGAAAAGAAAACTGCAAAAGTGATCAGAAACTCAGATTTTTAACATATTATGTCTTCTTGGTGGAATGGAATTTTCTTTGTAAAGACTAGGGGTTGATTAGAAAAACCCGGGAAGGTTAACTCTGAGTTAGCCTGGGGTAAAGATGAGAGACATGACATAAAACGTTTCTCTGAAGTCTGTCATTGTGCTTTTACCTCCCCTGATCTGCAGGGACTTAAACATGTAGGCACTCGGACAGGGCAATAATTTGGTTTCTCTGCAAACCAGTATAGTTAAAATATTTGTTCCCATTTATTCAGAGCAGGACTTCATGAGGGAAAGATTAAGAAAGAAGAGTCCCATTGGAAGCAGCTTTCACCTCTGACCTAGAACTCAAATACCTCACTCAGTAAACTGAAGACATTTCTGGGAAAATATGTTGTTGACCAGCTACTGTTATTTGACCAGTTCATCCTCACTCCGAGTGGCTTTTCAAAGTATGTCACTCAAAAGTGTACATATATTATGTTCCTTGGAATTTTTCTGATAAATATAATTCTTCCATCCTGTTAATTTTCTAATAATGTCCTAGTACCCTTAAAGACAGCAGCCCTGGGCACTGCCCATCTAGTTCACCTCTCAGTATGACTTGGCCAGTCTCATACCAGTGCCTCCTGGAGTTATTGATGTTAGTACCATTGAATACACATACCTTCTTTCCTGCTTATCTACATGACAGAAAACAAAAAGTGCATCTCAAAGCACAGGATCTTGGCTCAGGTGGACTCCTACTAAATGCTGTTCAATTGAAATGAATAGAAGTGCTGGGTCTAAGGGCATGAAGAACTATTGTTTTTAGAGGCCAAGGTGCATAAGATGTATATCTAAAATATTCCTGAGCTTCAGTCATCTGAGTGTGGTAAGTCAAATGAAGTTTGAGGACACTTCTTTGTACCACTGAGTCTTAAGGAAATATTTCTTAAAAATTTCCCGAGGACTATGCTAACATTCTAACTTGTTTAATAAATAGAACTTTGTGGACTTCACAACTCTGCCACTTCATTAACATGTTTTGCATGTAAATTTCTAATTGGTTTCTTTATACTCACTTTTAAGATGAATACATTCTTCTGTGTTAACATTTTATATAAAATCATGGTCTAGACTTGTACATGTACTGCTAAAATTAAATCATCAATAATCACTATCTAAAATGAATTACATTCTAAAAGCTCTGGCTAATGATTTATCTCTTCTTCATGGAACCGATCTCTATCAGATTGATTTATGTAGCAACCAATCATGTTTCAGTAAACTGCAGCATGCACATGCATCTTAAATGATGATAAGCTGTGACTGTCCATTTATTTGTATAACACTAGCAACAACACAAAAAAGAAAGAAAAGAAGGAAAAAGAAAGTCCCCACCTCTTACAAAAGCATCACAGGATGACCAAATCCTCTAAGAAATGATAATGGCCAATTCTATATCAAATTTCAGAATTACTGATATAGTATCATGCATATGCAAAAACAGTCACAAAAATGGTGAACATTAAAATGGTGACATTTGATACAGAGAATTCTTTGCCTTTGCATGTTTACATTATTTGCTTTGATAGCAAGGTACCTTTTTGCACATTAACATTATTTGCTTTGATAGTCAATGCTTTTGTTAGTTGTTGAAGTGATTGACAACCTCATGCTGTTCTATTTAATTGCCTTTTCTGCAATGCAAGGTTCTGTGTTTAGAAGATGCTGTTTCATAAATAAATCCAAAGTGTGTGTGTGTGTATGTGTGTGCCTGTGTGTGAACTACAGAGGTTTCATTTCTCAAGCTAATTCTGTAACTATTCAGCAACAGCTGTCGCCATATTTATCTGTATTTACACTGGAGTTCATTCTCATCTTTCATGTTTTTTGCCTTTTCCGTATTTAAGGAAACTCACGGATGTCCTTAAGTGAATGAACACCTTTTTACGAAGCTATTCATGTTTGAGGAAAGAGTAGAGATATTGGACATATCATGTTTTAGCAAAATGTGTAGAAGGTTTAAATTTTCAAGACCTAAACAATTATTTCCCACAAGACTACTCCTAAGATTTAAAACCCCTCAACATTTTGCATTGTGCCTAAATTTACTTTATATCTTTTGCATTTGTTCTCTAAATTAATAGTAAAGTAGCATCTTTTTCTAGTTAACAAATATAATACAGAAACACTTCTGCTAAAGGGTTTGCCACATGATTTTTAAAACTCTCTCATTGAGAGTTTGGTCAACATTATTGAGTTAGACAATATATGTAATTCAATATTGTTAAAATCTTTAACAAATTTTTATTATTTAACCTAAAAATGAAGTTCAAATAATTCTTAAAAGTAAGTTATAATTAAGACATCTTATTATAGTTGTATTCAGGACATGTTTCAAGACAGTTATTACGCTTTTTTGAAAATGTGGTCAACTCTTGGTTTTTTGTTATAAAGCTAGATGATTTTTAACACATTGGATAACAAATTCTGTAGGATTCTACAGCTCAACATGCATGGAATAAATGCTATGGTAACTTGTTCCTCATCCTTTGCTGTGAGCATAAGTTTAAAAAAACAATGAATTCAGTGGTAGAGAAATTAATTTCAGACTGATGTTTCTAACTAGTCTGAGAAATAAAAGTTGGATCACTTGTGATTATCCAATTGCTAAATGAGGCAGAGTGATTTTTTTAAATGCTGAAATATAAATCCTGACAGTGCCACTCAGTCACTGTTAATTGTATAAATCTCTTAACGATTTTTTGTTTGCTTTGAGATAGTGTCTCCATCTGTCACCCAGGCAGGAGTGCAGTGGCGCAATCTCAGCTCACTGCAACCTCTGCCTGCTGGGTTTAAGCAATTCTCTTGTGCCTCAGCCTCCTGAATAGCTGGGACTACAGGTGTGCACCACCATACCTGGCTAATTTTTGTATTTTTAGTAGAGACGGGGTTTCGCCATGTTGATCAAGCTGATCTTGAAATCCTGACCTCACACAATCTGCCCACCTCAGCCTCCCGAAGTGCTAGGATTACAGGCATGAGCCACCGCATTCGGCCAACCATTCTGAGTTCACTTTTTTCATCTGTAAAATAAAAATAAATAGTAACTACTTTATAGGAAACAACCAACACTGGATTATGTGGAGGGAAGGGAGCCAGGAGAATAAATGCCCAGCCCTCACTCTCCACTTTCTGTATCTCACCTCACAATGGACAAATCCAACCCCAGTCTGGAAGGCAGGAGACCATGGATACAGTTCCCAGGGAGTCTCCAGAGCAGAGAGCAGGATGCAGAATGGTGAAGAGTGGATTCTGAGACATAAATGGAAAATGCTAGAATAGACATGAAAAAAAAAAGGAATAAGGCCATAAGACAAAGAGCCCAGAAAGATCTCATTTCTATAATAAAGTTGGAGAAAAATATAGAGGAGATAACACATAGGTGGAACATTGAAGAACAGAGCCAACCATGCAAAGACACAGGCAGAGAAAATTCTAAGCTGAAAGAAGAGTATTGGCAATGGCCCTATGGCAAGAAGTAGCTCATTGTATTATGTGATTTGAAGGAAGACTCATGTGACTTCACAAGTCAAAGTAAGAAATGTAGACTTAATTGGGTATGCAATGTGTTTTAAGCAGAGGAGTGCCATTTAGAATGACCCTTCTGGAAGCTGTGTAAAGAATGACTTGAACCAGAAAAATGGGGAGAAAATAAAGAAAATAAAAAGAAGAAAAGAACAATTTTTAAAAATCCAAACATGTAATCAAATAGATATCACAAGGCAAAACCAAATGATTAAACACCAAATGAATCACATAGACCACAAAGCTCGTAAGTGTTCAGAGACAGAACAGTGCCTTTCAACTTGAGTTGGTAATAAAGGTTTTATGGAAGCTTGGCTTTAAACTGAAATTTAAAGGCTGATGTAGAATGGTAACAAGTGGAGGAAAAGGGAGAGCCAATTCCAGAATAAGAAGAAATGGAAGTTGGATAGTTACAGGAATATTTGGGGAAGAATGAAAGAAGCTTTTTTTCTGGAAAGGAGTAAAGGGGAGGCCCAGGAAGGGAGGGAGAATAACATTTGCTGGCCATTAGTGACTTAATTTTCTGCTCTTCTCTGATAAAGTTATAATTCATAAGCAGTGTATTAGTCTGTTCTTATACTGCTATGAAGACATGTACCTAAGACTGGGTAATTTAAAAAGAAAACAGGTTTAATTGACTCACAGTTCCACATGGCTGGGGAGGCCTCAAGAAACTTACAATCACGGTGGAAGGAGAAGCAAGTACGTCTTACATGGCGGCAGGTGAGACAGAGAGAGAGAGAGAGAACATGCAGGAAAAACTACCACTTATAAAACCATCAGATCTCGTAAGAATTCACTCACTATCATGAGAACAGCATAGGGGAAACCTCCCCCATAATACAATCACTTCTCTCTATGGACATGTGGGGATTACAATTTGAGATGAGATTTGGGTGCAACACAGAGCCAAACTCTATCAACCAGGTAGGTATTTCAATGAGTTTTGTGAGATTTTCAGGTACTATGTACACTAGGGAGATACTTCGGGATTTGCCCCCTCAAATTACATCACATAACCAAGCTATCAACTGCTGACCCACTTGTGGAAATCTGGTTCTGACTAAAATTCTCCAAAGTTCAGAAATACCTGAATTAAAATGTGATTGCAGCAAGGCTTGCCAAGCCAGTGATAACAGTATTACTTGTGTTATCTGCTGTTTTAGAGTGTTCATATCATTGTTTCCTTGGTGAAGATAATTGAGAAAAAACTATGTATTTATTTGTTCTCACTAGTTTTTTAAACTAAGAAATCTGATACTATTAATAATTGAAAATGAGTTGTCATTTTACTGGCCTACAAAACACTGGACAAAGTAGAGATTGCAGTTATATAAATTTTGACGAATATAGTTTTAGTATTAAAAGATAAATATTAAAAATTATTTTTGAGACATTAAAGCCTCAACTTCATTGTTATACTGTGCATGTATATTTTATGTTGAATGGTATGTTTGTTTTTCCTGTAAATGGCATAGAATTTTCAAAATTGGGGTATTTTTCTTCCAGAATGCATTTATTTCTCCCCTGAAGTTTAATGTAAGGAATGTAATTAGCAATATACTTAGTTCTACAAATAATTTTTTTAAAACTGTTATATTCCATATCAACATTAAGCAATCAAAATGAATATTATGTATTCATGTATGAATTGAAGACTCAGAGAATTTAAGACATTTGCTCAAGGTCACATAACAAATAAAGGACACAACTGAAGCTTGAATTGAAAAACAATGGGAGAAAATCATTTTCTCATATCCCTTGTTTGCAATACTTTGAACCTCCCTCTGAGGGCATCAGAGTCATTAATAAACTCACAGTAATCTCAATTTCCTTGTAAGGAAGGTAAAAAATTGTACATATGTTTGTATTTCACAACAAGGCTAGTAATGACCGAGTGAAATTCAGATAAAGAGAGTAAACCGGACTTTTACCAAGAGTCGTGCTGCAAAGTGGCTTCACTTACTACACTCAAAGCACTTCTTATAGTTCATAATGCTATTGTCTCTGTGATTGTTTGATTCATGCCTTTTTCAATAGACTGTAAGAAAATGAACAATTGAACATTAGTATTCCAAATTAATTCATCCTTGAAATGCTTTTGGCTCTCTTTCTACATCAATCTGAAACCCACACTTTCATCAAGCCTATAGTATATTTCCACCAGCTCTATGTACACTTCCTGATTATAGAACCCATTCTTTATCCCCCTTTGTTTATCACACTCCATCTTACTTTTGCAGATTGTCTTTTCCCTAATGAGTGCAGTTTTCATGGAAAAAACCCAGGTTTCTGTCTTACCCGTAAGAAAATCAGGGGTTCCTGCATCTCTTTCTTTTCCAAAACTCTCCTCTCACCTTGCTTTACCTTCACGTGAGCTTGGCTAATTGAAGCCTCTTTACTGGGGCTTTAAATCTTGAGCAGGAAAATACAAGAACAGAATACAAGAACAAGCACAGAAGAAAAGACTAAAAGCAATCATTTTAAAGGACCACATCAGAAGCCTATATACAAATTCAATCAATATCTGTTGAATTAATTTTGAATTCAAGGACTACATAAGAAAATAATCATCAAATAAGGAAACTGTTCATTGAGTTAGATTTTCCTAATAAGATCTGAAAACATCAAAATGCGGACAATTCATTAACCACAATATCTTCTATAAAATGAAGTCTCATTCATGTTGAAATTCTGCAATTTTTTGCTAAACACTGGACTGAAGACTTTTATCTCATTGTTAAAGTCCATTAATAAGGCCAATAGAAGAGAGAGGAATGTGGAATTAATAGGCAAAAGAAAGTGAAGTAATAAAATGAAGTCCGTCATGGCCCATGGCCTTTTCTGCAATATTTTAGTACATTCCTTTGATAAGCAAATACCAAGATCGCATTGCATTCATAACATACTAGGAATTTGCACAAGTAGAGGTTGATTTCATTTCTTATGATTCAAAAATTCTAAATGATTCTCAGTGCTTGCAAACATCATAGTTGCTGGTATTTGAAAATTTCACTGTGTTGTCAATAATTTTTAAAAATAAAAAATTATATCAAATGCAGAAAACAGTCCATAGGGGTGTAAATAAGCCATAGAAGTAATGGCAATACTGCCTGCTTATATAGAACTTTACTGTTTAAAAGCACTTTAACAATTGTGGTTCAAATAATTTACATTATATGAAAGGAATTACTATGGAGGAATTAATAGGTTTAAATACCACTCACACATACAATATATAGAGACATAATATTTCATTTAAAAATTCAGTTTATTAGAAAACATATATATATTTATATATATATTTATTTTTTTCAATGACTTTGCCATAAGAACATATATTATTTCTCCCAAAGTAAGTAAATGTTGGCTTTTCACACACAAAAGATGATAAGGATAATGTTGAAATATTATTTCTCACAGCAATGTTTAAAGCATTTGTATTATGTAAATAATTCATGTATTTTTTTCTTGTTAATACCAATTTGTATAACTATGTATGAGGAATGTTAAGAAATGCCTCATCAGGAGGAGATGAAAGGCTGGCAAAACTTGAAAAATTGAAAGCTAAACAGAAGTGATGGTTATAGTCCTCCTTTCACATTAGAAACTATAAAATTTTCCTGTTTTGTCCCATTTCTCAGTTGGAACATACTCTCACGGAGGAAACACAGATAGATGAAAAATTAACTTCTTTTCTTCTTTAAGAAAACATAAGCAGAATCACTTTTGATTTCTTTAAGTAGTTCAATAAACAATGAGTACTATTTTAAAACTACAGGCATTCCATGGGAATTTCTCTAGAAAGAAATAACTTATATTGAATGTCATTTTATGAGTTGAGTTTATGGAAAGCTATAATCTTTCTGCAATACAGAGTGTAATATAAACTAACTCATGCATGTTTCTTTTTATCTTGGGTATATACAGGAGGCCCAAATTATATGTCAGAAATGACCTAATGTGATTTCTTTTTTCTGAGAGGAACAAGGGAATATTAAAATTGCAGGTATTTGCCAAGAGTTTGCTTAATTTATAAATGATCTGCTTGACTCTGGGTGCACTGGGATATCTTAGTTTTGTCCTAATAGGTTTTTCAGATCATCTTCTGGAATGAGAGGGTTCTACACCAGAGACAGAAAGAGTATTGGGGCAGGGAGAGAAAGGACAAAGGACAGCAAGTAGGAGGTTCCTCAAACGATGTTCTCTTCAAGAATTGGAAATCTTTCATTGATATCTTTGGGAGAACCAAGCCCAAAAATAAGGAAATAAAACATTAAAGGAATAATAACATCCCCAAGACCTTCTAAAGTTAGGGAAGAGATCATGGGAAATGGTGAAGGGCTAGCCACATGTACACTTCCCTATAGTCCAGGCCCAAATGTCCTAAAAATATGTTGAGGTGTCTTAAGGATTGGTAACTTCAATATGAGTTATATTTGCTTTTAGTGTTTATTTCCAGGTAGTCCTTAACAGTAAAAGCCCAAAACAAAAGGTCCCTACACATTTATTTTGGGGTCATAGAGAAAGAGAGAACCATATTTTTATCATATTATGGAGGTGCATGGGGAGGAACTCTAGAAGATCTAAATGTTTTGGGGATGCTGGAGAAGAAAAAAAAAGTCTAAGTAATCATTGTAATCTTCCAGAAGAAATAATAAAGGGGAGGAAAGTAAAAGCTTCAAAATGAAATTATATTACTTTATTAATAATACTTATTAATATTTGTTTTATTCTACCTCTCTAGAATTTCAGGTTTTGTAATGATTAAGGATATATGGATAAGAAGCCATTTATAACTTCACACTAGAATAGTATTTTGCTTTTGTACTGTACGTATTTGTATATGTCACCTTATTTAATATTTATATTAGTGCACTACATTTTATGAGTCAGAAAAATGAGGCTTACAACTACTACTTGATAGACCCATTAATTGGAGAAGCAAAGACTAGAACCTGAGTTTCTAACTGTCCACTTTTCCTTGAATGGTATAAATGTGTTTGTTTTTACTTTTTCTTCTTCATATCAGCATGAGTAGAGAAGAACAGAAATGATTCCAAAAGCAATGCTAAATCTAAAATCTTTTTTAAAGTGTGTATTACAGGATAGATGTTTAAACATGCCTTATTGAGATGGGCTTGTATTTGTCCAATCTAACAACTAAATCCTTTAAAAAAGTGTAGACATTTGTTTTGGCTTTCTTGAAATGGAGGAGACAATATATATGTAGTGCTTCATCCTGAAAATGTTATGAAAACTCATAATTCTTCTCTCTCTCCAGTGCCCCATATACAGGACAGATGTCAAGATATCTCTCTCACTCTTCCTCTGTTCCTTTCTCCTTCATTTTTTGCTGTCTTCTTTATTCCCTCCTTCTAGACAATTGCTGCTCATATTCTACCCCTCCAAAAGCCCTACTTCACCTCTGTGTGACCCCCTCTGCTTCTCCTGTCTTCAGGAATTACACTCGAATATTCTACTGTGACCTCCCTTAGCTTTGGAAGCAGATTTCCAGAATTCTAGTGGATAAAATTCCCCATCGTCATCATATATTTACCACTAAAATTTCTTTCCAATTTTTCTTTAGAATCCTCAAGTCATTTATTTTAAGAGTGTAGTACATCCTTCTTTCCAGAAGTGGCTATTTGATTCATAACTGTCAAATCAGGCCTTTCCTCTGGGATATAGATGATTGGTCCAGGATGGTTGATTGATACAAGAGTAGCGAATCCAAGCTGGTAGAATCAGCTTCTCTTTCTCAGAAACTTGAAACTTATAATCTAGAGACACAGACTGAGATTTGCCAGGGCTCAACATGAGCAGAGATGCAATAAGAGTAGTCACAAACTCCTGCTTCTGAGCTCCCCAGAGCTTCCTTCCCTTGCAGGACTTTGGTTCAGCTCATGCTTGGATACAGTAAAATCCTTAGTGTTATTCCAGTAAATCCTCTAGCCAGAGTCAGTTCTTGCTACCATACAAAACTATTTTCCAAAATTATCTAGATCAGTAGATGATTGATTAATCTAAAAATCATTAATTTCAAGTGGGAAGCCGTACAAGTGCTGAACACTTCAAACCTTTTATTTTTATTTGAAATAAGAAAATGTATACATAGTTTCAAATTAACTTTATATATTCTAATTAAATTTTCCATAGTTATTCTTGTGTAAACCACAGTCAAAATACAATAATTGTGATTTCCAGTTTAAATTTCTTCAAAGTGAAATGGGAATTTTAAGCTAATTATAAAGCAATGTGGGTAAAGAAACCTTCCAAATTTTAAGGATTATTTCCAGATTTATCATTGTTTTACCTACACCCCGATTCCTGAGCATTTTTCAATGATGTGCCATTACCAAATTTTCCCAAATACTCATTTAGTTTTAATACCTATGACAACTCTTTTTCACAATGATAATTCATAAGGAAATAGATATTAAATTAAATTACATAATTATTCATTCTTAAGCATTCAGCTCACTGGTAGGAGAAACAGTGCATCAGCATATTAGAGAATAACAACCTAATTCTTGCATTTAGCATGTTGGTGGCATTAGTGCATTTTATAAGGGAAATAGAGGGTACCTATCAATCTAGAGATTTGGTTATGTGGAGGCAGATTAAATGAGTATCCACTGGACTTAACCAAAAGAGGCCTAGTTAATATAAGTAGGACATTCAATACCAGGTCAAAAGAAGAATTTTAAGTAGATTAAAATATTGCTTATTTAGCCTTTTTCACAATTTCAAATATGCTAATAGTTTGATATTAAAGAGATAGCACTGCTCATTGAAATAAATCGAAAGCTCACATTTGGATTTAACATTTAGAATTATCCAAGCTGAACCCATCTTTCCTGACAGAACAATTACATTTGTTAACCACCAAGCAATGACATACTTCAACCACTTCACTGACTCAGATAGGAAAAAGAACTTTGTGAAATATAGTAAATTCTCTGGAAAAACACATAGTCCTGAATTTCATAATCAATGATGGCACTTTCTAACACTCATTAATTATCATGGCTGAAAATAGCTTTAATTAGTAAATGATCATTAGAAATTACAAAATGATCCTAGCACTTTGGGAGGGCAAGGTGGGCAGATCACGAGGTCAGGAGTTCAAGACCAGCCTGACCAAAATGGTGAAACCCCATCTCTACTAAAAATACAAAAGTTAGCTGGTCATGGTGGCATGTGCCTGTAATCCCAGCTACTCGGGAGGCTGAGGCAGGAGAATTGATTGAATCCAGGGAGGCGGAGGTTGCAGTGAGCCAAGATCATGCCATTGCACTCCAGCCTAGGCGACAAAGCAAAACTCTGTCTTGGAAAAAAAAAAAAATTACAAAATGAGATTTTTAATTAAAAAAATATATAATTGAAACCAATATTAGTAGAGACTGTGGTTATCAGTGGTATTATGTTTCTGAGTTAAATTTAGTATGACCCTTACTTTGATATCAAAATGGCACTAGAAAGTGAAGTTTTTGTTGACTGTGCTATAAGATATGACGAAGAGCATGGAAATGCCACTTGAAACTTCATCGAGTGATCTTCCATATCATTAGGGTGTGAGTTTCTAAAGCTCAATGACCATCAATACATATTGATTAATCTCCAGAAAGAGAAGAATCAATCCGTGACTATGGTTTGTTTGTGAGGTTTACAAGGTGTTGTTCTTCAAAAATCTAAAGGAAATATATATTATCTGCATTCATCAGAGGAGTAGCATATATTCAGAATACCAATAGGCAATTCAGAGCTAATTAGATCCTTTCAAAAGATGCACTGATGCACAAGGTTCAAACTCCTAACTCCTGGAAAATGGAATCACCCCCAAATTCTTGACTAGATCCAGCCTTGCAGTGAATAGCACTTCCAGAGTCACATTCCAGTTCAGGATATCTTGTGTTCATTTTGTCAGTAACAACTGTGTATAACCTCAAATGACAAGAAGGGGTCAGCAGTACTGAGTTCCTACTCTGCAAGCCAACTGGTATCAAAGCCAAGCCCATCGCCACCAAGGACTGCTGAACTAAGAGTGTGAGGAGGACTGACAGAGACAGATGTTAAAGAAACAGTAGGAAGGGGAGCGAGCTAAAGCTGTTGATCACAAGCGATAGGGATGCTGTGAGACACCACCAGAGGCAACAAGGAAAAGCTGTCATTTTCTGGATAGCAACAGGAGTGCGTGCTGTCATGTAGCAATCAGAAATGGGGTGGCTCACACTATAGAAATAATGTCACACTGCCCAAGAGTGAACACACAGTAGGATTGCTAACAGCAAAAAGATTCCCCACCAGCAGCTCCTAGGCTAGGAAAGGACTAAGTCATTCATGCTGTGCCTGTGGAACTCTCTGCAGGGCTCCATTGATCTTGTGGTCTGCACTCATACACATGGCTTGAAATTCCTTCAGCTCTGTTGTCTGTAAATACAAGCCAAGATCGCTCCCTCTCCCTGTGGTTAGGAAGGACAGTGACAATGACTGCACAGGCTTTGCAGGTAGGTGAAAGTTGGGGCAATAATTAAGTACAGTTTGTTTGGTTTTTTTAAACATTCCCTGCCTTCACTTCATGAGATGTTTTGGGGACTGAAGCATGAAACCTTAGTTTTAGAATGTTTTTGGATGAAGGATTGGGGTGGGTATAATCTCAATATAATTAAGTCTATATAAATGCAACATATATAATTAGTGGATATCTCAAATGACACACTCACGAATTCCCACCCTAATAGGTAAGATGCTTATCTTTGGATCCCAGTACTTCGTGAGTATTTTTCTCACAAAATGTCTATTACTCTGCTTTGAAATATAGTAATTTTTCATCCACTAATTGAGTCATTCCGTGAACATTTTTTGAACTTTTATCATGTGCCAGTCACTGTACTAGGTGTTACCTGTTGGTGACAAGACAGAAAAGATTCCTGCCTTCATGGAGTCACAGTTCAGAATGATAGACATTTCAAAAATTAACTAAATTGCTGTGAAAATTATAATTCTGATAAGTGTTATGAAGAAATGCCAGTTTCCTAGACTGTAGTCCTTGTCTAGACTGACTCATCCCATCTATGTATATCCAGTGACAATCAGGACTATGTCTGGCACAGAGCAGATGCCTAATAAACAATAATTTCTTAAATTGAGCTAATGAGTGTAAGAACAATTTCTTGTAAGATTGTTAAAACAATTTTAAGAATAATTTGATTTGTGAAACTTCTGTAATACTGCCTTTTCCCTCCCATCAACATATTCGCTTTTCATTTTTTTGGTAGTATTGAAAGTTTAGAAAAATGACTATTTCTTGTTGAAACAGACTATTTTTAGTGCGCTAGATTTTCAGATTTGAGCTATACTTTTGGAAATCTAGGGCAAACATTTGGTATAGTTCACTGTAACAATGATCCTAATTCTGAGGTCCCACTCTTTGATATGGAGGTTGCAATCCTATACTGCTTCTCTCATTTTAGGCAATATGCTTCTGAAACCTGCATTTATTGTTTAAAACTATCAAATGTACTTTTAAACAGGGTACCAGAAGCCAGAGAGAAAACTGAAGCCACCTATTGAAAAGCCCTGACACCCCATAGGATTCCACTGGCCTACAAGGGTAAATGACACATCTGAAGGGCTCAGTAACCCTTAGGAAAGTAGTTTGAATACCCATTGTAATCTGAGCATGTATCAGCATGTTTTCTTGAGGTTTGCCTCAATTGGTACTTCCAGTGCTGATAATGAGTTTCCTAAGTCAAAGGGTTAACGTCTAGCACAGCAGGGGACCCCCAAACAAACTCTGCTACAGCATTAAAGACTGCATTTGTTAGTTCCTATGCAGCTATGGCTACAAAAAATTTGGAATATCACCCTTGGATAAATCTAAAATTACCCATAATGGCAATTCCAGAAATTTGGAAAAGAACATACATGTGGATTGTAGGTTTCCTTAATGAATGACACAAGTTTGATACATGCATTATTATCTAAAGATTGTCTTCCAACTATGTATTATATTTTGTATTTTGTTGTTGCTTACAACCATTAGAGATAGATGATCTGTGGAAAAACTAAGGGCTGGAAGCTGGTGGTGAATAGTTTACTACTAAACATTTAAATCTACTTGTCTTTGCTCCTGTTACTCTTCATAAAGGGGTGTGATTTAATCTACTGAGGATTACTGTATTCTAGGACACAATAATATATCACTCTTCAACCCTCAAGGAGCTTATATTTCAGTGAGAGGAAACCCATATTACCCAACTGATGTTGATGCAAGGCAGAAGCTAAATATAACAGCAGAAGCAAAAACGCACAGCCATGAGGGCACTGAGGATGAAAAAAGGGATAAAATTGAAGGCAAAGAAACAAGTCCAGTATCAGAGCAGAGTGGTGCCTGATACCTAAACTCTGTAGGTTTGTGATACTAGAATGAAGCTATGGGGGCTAAAAGCACTGAATAGGCAAAATCAAAAGGATGATGTGTTTTGTTGCATACAGGTGGGGCAGCGACGAGATGTAGCCAAGGTTAGCAAGGAGTTCTGCAGCCTGCTTAACTGCAGCAGACACAAAGTTCATCCACTACGTGTATCTAACCTTTGTAAAGATGTACATGCAGGGATTATTTATTTAGTTTAGGTTTGGGACATTATCCTTGTGAGAATCCAGATGCTTTGGTACATTTTATCTTCAGAATTTAACAGAAAAGTCTATCCTTGCCTAGGGTGGCATTTGTTGCTATAAATCATGACATGCTGGGTTTTAGCTGTGGCTCTAAGCTGAAATACGTCTCCTTTTAACTTCTACCAAGTGGTCCCAGTTCTGCCCTCAGGAACTAACACAGATTAAGTTGAATCCCTCTTGTGTGGCAGCCCTTGAACTGTCATTATAAGGGCTCCCTTGAGTTCTTCAGCACCCCCTCAATTCCTTTAGCTATTCATGTTGATGTGGAGTCTGCTCCCTTGCACTGTCCTGGTCATTTTCCTCTGCCCAGGCTCTAACTCCTCAGATCTCTCACAACATAGAAAACCCACCCACAACACAAGGTTCCTGAGTGCTATGACTGATAGAAAGCAGACAGGAACTACTGCTTCCCTCACTCCGTGCACTCCGTGTTTATGAAGACACCTTCAAATTGCTAGCCACATTTTTAAGCAGACTTTCAAACTATTGGTGCTTCCTGAGTTTATAATGTACCCACATTTGGAGACATTTATCAAATGGACTTTGCAAATCCATGTGTCTCCATGCAGACTTCTTTAACTTCAGAATCAACTTAACATAGTTATTGGAGCAGCTGCAAAGGTATCTATTACATTCATGGAGAAAGGAGCAATTATTATGGCATTATACAAAGAGCCAACATTGATTGAGCTCTAGTTACGTGCTAGACAATGTGTTGTTAATCTTTTTAAGACATTGTACCCTGTAAAAAATTAAACTATTAATTTTATTATAAAAGTAATATGAACAAATAGCAATGCATCAAATAGCCTAAAAGGACATAATATGAAAATATGTTTTACCTTCCTATCCCACAGAAACTGCAGATTTCTGTGTTTCCTATATCTTACCAAAATTTCTGTGCATATATATTGTATATCTTGTTTATATATTATATGTATAGTACTCTGGTCTTAAATGTTTTAATTTAACTAATTCTTGGTAATCATTTTGTACATCACACATAGAGCCATCTTAACCTGATGAGTATCTGTCTGCATGTCATTGTGTGGACGTACCACAACTTGCATCTCATATAATTTAAGAAAAGTTCCACAGATTGGATCTTACTGTCTTCATTAAACATGTAGAAAACTGAGGTTTTAAAAAATTATTACCTTGCCTGCTGCCACTCATTTGAAAATAACTCAGTAAGGTTTAAAATGCATATCATTCTACATATATGTGCTATTAATCACCTCTCTAGAAAAATAATTTTCACTGGTGAATTTCATAGCACTTCACAAGCAGATTTTTCTAAGTACATAACAGGTCTTCCTCTATATTTTAAAATTGGAAAAATGAGATTTAGAAAATGGTTTGAGCATTTGACAATTGCCAGAAATATTAAAATTGCTCAGATTGACCTGCTCTAGTTCAGCTTTTAGAGTCTGTGGACACAGTGATTTGCCAGATTCTGACTGCCAATGAACTAATGTAGTCCACATTCCTGAGCGTTGTAAATTTCTGTACAAAGTTTCATTGCACAGGTGCCTTTTGTTTTTGTTTATTTTTAACAGAAATTGTTACAGTATCCAGAAATATCTCATCTTGTATTGAAAAATCTGTGTTTTATTTAGAAAGGTTTAATATTTTTATTTACCCTATTTCAGAAAGCCATAGTTGGTCCTATCTCCTGGACTCATATGCCATCATTGTTTCTTGAATCAAGCTGCTAATTGAATGCAGAAAATATTAAAATATGATTATGAGTCTGCTAAAAGAATAAACATGTCAAGTGTCAACAAAATACTGTAAGTCTGCTGTGCTTCAAACTAACTGAGTCAAAATAGATTCCTAAAATTTGTTCTTTCCAGTGCCTGTTTGAAAAAGTGAAAGAGATACACCTGTTGTATTAACACATTCACTGATCACCAAGGCTGTTCATCTTTACAATAAATAAGTTAAGAATTTGGGTTCTCTGGCAATTCTCAGTTCAATCTGACTGACTCTGGTACCTCTCTAATCAAATATATCCACATGATATTTTAAGCTGCATTATAGTACATTAATAGCTTGTAAAGTGAAATTGATGCAGCATGATGGACTGTATTCCTGAAGCAGTGACAAATTTATCAGTGATAGATTCACTAATGGAAATGTTGAATTGCAATAAATATAAATGCAGAATAGCAATTGCAGAGCATTAAAAATGTCATCTGTGAGTTTAGGTATTTATGAGGCTGAGACAGCTGGAAACATGAGTGGCGCGTTCCTATGAGCCACTGCAACTCTGGGGTTCCAAGGAAAGCAGAGGCCCTTTCATCAAATAGGCCAGGCCGCCGGCAAATTGTTGTCACAGCTGTGCCATTGTCAATTAGGCCTCCAATGACTCAGTCCTTTGTTTTTCCTGCTTGCACAACTCACTGCACCTTTTCTCTGGGCTTGGGTGCTTCACTCCTGCAACCTTTCCACCACCTTTCCCCTCAGTGACTCTCCTCACATGTTCTGATTCATCTTCCAGCCATTGATCTAAAACTCAGAGAAGTGACATCAGGGAAGCATCTCAGCTACTTCAAAAGGCACTGCTATTCCTTCTGGGCTATTTTGGCATGTCAAACCCAACAGGCCCAGCAGAAATGCTCCATGCTGTTACACATTTGCCTCTGATGTGTCTGGTGCACCTGCCCAGCCTTCCTGAACTCTAAAGACTGTGTTTAATGTCAGCAAAATCTGGCTGGACATCAGGAGCCAGGGTGCAGTGGAGGACAGTGCACCTCACTTGGGTTTTGTTTGTTTGTTTGTTTGTGTTTTGTCATACTCTTGCAAGAACAGCAGCATAAGGATCAACTCACAGGCATGTGTGTTAATAGGCAGAAAGAGATTGGACCTAGAAAGTTTTTCCTAAGCTAGTGATTGGTTATGCAATATTTTGAAACATACTGGCATGGAAGATTGAGTTAGCAACATTTTTTAGTATGTGCCAATCTCAGGTTTGATAATGAGGTGTGTTATAGCTACCCATATATCCTCTTTTCATTTCTTGAGCTTTCATCTGCTTCCAGTGTTTTCAGCAATTGGTGCGCATTTGTTGTCAGCATATTGAAGTAAATTACTCAATACTTTTTGGAATCAGATGTCACAACTTGCTCTTAATGGCAATAGAAGGTTATCAAAGTGAGGTTATTTTAGAAGGTTATTAGATTTGCCAAGAATAAATAAATGTTTGGCAATTATAATTCAGTTTAGTATGAAAATAAGTTAGCTTGCTTGTCACTGATTCTGCTTATCATCACAAATCCATGATAACTAAACTCTGAATTAAGCTCTAGTGACATTCCTCTGTCATTGTCGTTCAGTAGAAGTAAACAACATGAGTAATAAAATTAAAAGAAAAGCAATATGCAACACAACAATATACAAACAATGGCATGACAGTCTTAGTACAAAGGTGATATTCCTAGTCTAAAAGCCTAGCCATACCAAAAAAAAAAAGTAAGGGATTTTTATAAACCTGACTCTTCAATGTTGTTCTGGTTGATTGTTTAATAAACTATAAAATATTTAGAAACTATCTCAGCCTTAAAATCAAATTTTTAACATGTTGCTAAAACTCACCAAGATATAAGAATCATTTTGGTGTTTTTAAATAGCTAAGACCAAAAATCATGGCTGCTGCGTACAAATGAGTAAATGGAAAGAAAATGCCAAAAAAAAAAAATTATGAGAGTTAAAGGCAGATAACTTTATTGGAATTCTTCTGATTCTTATTAGACCAAAAATTCAGTTAAACTACTTTTCATTAAACACCAGTTATAATCCCAAGCAACTTTTTAACCTCTCATGATGATGCTAAAAAATTTATCCACTGAGTAAATATATCCATTGGGTGTCTGTTACATGTCAACCAAGAAATACAAAAGGAATAAGCAAGACCAAGCCTTCATGGGATCTTATATTATGCACAAGAAAAGAAAAGTTAAGACATAAATTTTTTTAAAGATAAACAATAGAAACGGTTAGATATCAATAACTATAATACAATGCAAAGAATTAAAATTGGATGATGTCAGGTGAGTAATCAGCTACCTGTTTTAGGATGGGCAGAAAAAGCCTCTCTGAGGAGGTTGATATTTAAGCTGAAAATTACAAATGATGACAAGAAGTCAGCCATGAAAAAATAGAGAAAGTATTTCAAGTAGCAGAACAGTTGAGGCAAAACAAGTTTGCCAAGTCCAAGCAATAAAAAAAAGACCATTTTGATAGAATCATAGGTGGAGATATAAAGAGTAATTGAGGGGTGGTTAAAGAAGCAAGCAGGGGTTAGAATAAAGCTTTTTAATTCAGAGAAGGCTTTAGGTCTGATGATGGAAAGCCACTGGAGGATTTAAGCATGGTAATGGCACGATCTCTATTATTCTAAAATATCATTCTGGATGCTCTGTGTAGAAAAGATTGGAGGTTAAAGAAGGAAATCATTTAGGAGACTATAGCCAAAGTGGCTTGGACTATGATCATGGTAGAGATAGAAAGAAGTGGGAAATTTTGGGATTGTTTTAGAAATGTTTTAAAAGGAGAATTGCTAGCACTTGCTGATGAAACTGACATAAAGGATGAGGAGAATAATAAGAATAATTTTTAGATTTTTTTGTTTGTGTTTTGTTTATTTGAGCCACTGGATGGATACTAATACTTTTTACCTAAGTGGGAAAGACTCATGTAAGAGCAGGTTTGGGGGAAAATGAAGTGTTCTGGATTTAGCCATGTTAAATTGGAGACGCTGTTCAGTAAAGGGTTAATTCAGACTTGTGGTGTTCAAACCCTTCACCTTCCAAAAAAGGACTGGCTCTTGACCAGCTTCTGAGATAGGTCTATAAGCTCTTGAAATATTCTGCATGATAAGAGTGTCTTTGTATACCTGGGGTCTTGCTAACAATGTGATTTATGGTAAACACCTGTTTTTGTTTTCTGGGTCCCTGAGACTATATCCGTTTGACCTAAGGTTAATCATATAGGTGCTGCATGCCTATATGAGCGACTCACAGTCAAAACCATGCACATCAGGACTCAGGTGAGCTTCCCTGGTTGGCAGTACTTTTCATGTATTATCACACATTATTGTTGGGAGAATTAAGTGCTGGCCATACAATGTTACCCGGAGAAGACAACTGGAAGCTGCATCTGATTTCCTCTGTACTTTGCCCTCTGTACCATTTTTTTTTCTGATTGCAATCTGTATCCATTCACTGTAACAAACTGTCACCATGAGTACAAAAGCTTTTCTGAGTTCTATGAGTCCTTCTAGAAAATCATTGAATCTGAGAGTAGCTTTGGAGACCCACAACACAGATGTTTATTAGATATCGAAGAGGAGATATTTTATAGGCTGTTGGCTAAGTGAATTGAGAATTCTAGGAGGAATCAAAACAGGAGATAATGATTTTGAGAGTCATGGGCATATAGATGATAGTCTAAAATGTGGGAAGTTCCCCTAGGAAGTGTCTCTAGGAATATCACCTACAATGTCTGCTATTTTTAAAAAGTTGAATTGGATTAAGTCCCTGTTTTTAGGAGCTCCTGTTATTGACAGGAGCCCGGAAGACACATTGGAGATGGATGCAGAAGCTACCACCTATAAATGGAGAAGAAATTCAGAAGGGGCAGCAACTAGATGCAGTAGAGAAAGAGGTCCCAGAGTAGGGCTCATTGGTCCAGGACCTTGAAGAATGAGTAGTATCTTCCTGGTCACTTGGAAAGGGCTCACATGCAAAGAGGAAACAAAACACTCATACTTTATTTAATTTTATGAAGCTATAATACATTTAGTGATTTAGCACTTTGGGAAGGAACTTAAAATACTCTGATAGGCAGAATAATGGATTCTTAAAAATGTTCACATCCTAATCCCAAGAATCTGTGAATATTACCTTTCACGGCAAAGGGGCCTTTGCAGATGTGTTTATGGATGACATCCTGGGTTATCCAGGCAACCCAATGTAATCACATGAGTTCTTCAAAGTGGAGTTCTTTGCCTGGCTGTCATCAGAGAAAGATGTGACGAGGGAGGCAGGGTGAGGGAGAGGCAAATTTACTGGTCTTGAACATGAAGAAAGGAAGGAGTACATGGGCGAAAGAATGCAGAAAACCTCTAGAAGCCAGAAGAAAAACAAGGAGAAAAATTCTTCCCTAGAGCTTCTGGAAGGAAAATAGCCTTGCCAAAGTTTTGATCAATGGGCAAGTAAGACCCATGTGAGATTTCTGGCCTATAGAATTATAAAATAATACATTTGCATTGTTTTAAACTGTAATTTGTTACAATAGCAATAGAAAACCAACACAAGTTTTTTAGAAGTTGTCGTTCTCTTCTTATTTATACACCCTTTACTTTTAAAAAATGTAAGGGAACAACTTATAAGAGAAATCTCGCTTTGTTTGAATCTTCAAAAATTCACTTCAAGAAGCCTAACAAGTATAACCCCGCTCTATAATTCTTGAACACTTGCTATAACATAGAAACTGTTTATTGCAAAAAAAAAGAATCAAACTGAATCAAATATTTTATAAAAATAACCCTTGCTTTTTGGTGCTTTATTAACCAAAATTGTTAAAATATCCAGAATTTTTTTTATTGATGAGAACTTTATGCAAAATTCTTGTAATTGCTGATCTTCAAATATACAAATCACAGACCACTATAGAAGTCAGAAGACCAAAGTCTATCACTCTACTCCCAAATCAATCAAACCAGCCTGCCTTTTATCTCTTTTGCATATTGAATGTCTATAAAAGAATGTGCTTAAATAAGAGGTCTGCTGCTGCTTAAGAAAGTTGAAATACTGGTAACCTAGGTTGTCTAAGTTCTGAACAACTCATTAGACTTCTGGTGGTCTATTCTGAATAAACACAGAGATCATTAGTGATGACATACTACTTATACAATCATAACAATTATCAAATTAGGACTCCTCTTCATGGTATTAAAATGTAAGCTCCACACAAGACGAAAAGATGTCTTGGTTAACCTCAATTCCTACTGCATTGTTAAATGATGGAAGTCACTACTTCCTAAGTGTGTTTCATGGAACGCTGGTACTATGAGATGCTTCAAACCACAAAAGTTTCTGTAGCTGATACAGAAAATTCTGCATCTTAAATACTTCCCGTACAAATTTACAATGATTTTTTAAGCCCCAAATGAAAGATGGCTATTTGTCTTTGTTGAAACCAATATTTCCCAAAGTTATATGATCACCAAATTCTTAGAATGTGGGTGTTGGGGGAGTATTGTAGGACAACATTCCATAAAGCTGGTGTTCCCACA
Source organism: Homo sapiens (assembly GCF_000001405.40). Lineage (NCBI taxonomy): Eukaryota > Metazoa > Chordata > Mammalia > Primates > Hominidae > Homo > Homo sapiens. The sequence goes on from NC_000005.10 coordinate 92,932,371, forward strand.
GTACGGATATTCAGAAATGCTATCTTAAGCTAGATGCAAAGGAAGAAAATATTTTCAAATATTCATTCTTTGAGTCAAGACAGTTTTATTCTAATCATGCTACATATTTTTTAAAAAGTTAGTACCTTATTAAAGATAAAGATGTCACTGCCATAGTATATCTCCTTCTCTCCATAAATTGTGTGTGTGTGTATATATGTTTGTGTGTGTGTGTGTGTGTGTGTGTGTGTGTGTGTGTGTTGCTTTTCCTTCCATGGCTGTCTGTCAGTGTCTTAGGCACTGTCTTCCTGTGCTTGATTCTGTTTTTTCTCTCAAATGGCCTTGGGTCTTGAGCCACTGTGAGAGCTGACCCTCCTCTAAAGACCGGTTCTCAAGCTTAAGGACACCTAGGATAAACAGCCTTAAGGACGTCTAGACATGTTAACTTGAGACTATGGAAACCTGACTCAGAATAGACAACCCAGAATACTATGCACATCTTGATTCTCTAAAAAGAAGGAAGTCTTTAACTCTGTCTCTTGTTCAGCTATACCTTGAGCTAGCTGAGACATAAAACAGCCCTCTTTCAGCCACATATAGAATACGTTGTCGGGATTTTCATCAAGGGCATGATGGGTGATATGGCCCTCATGTTCTTTGAATACCGGACAGTTCCTTGGAAAGAATTTTCAACTTGATGAATTCCTTGTTTGAAATTATGATAAGTAAATCTCTGTTAACTGAGTAATGGTATTGCTGCCTTTATATATTCTTAGATTTTAATGAAGTTATTAAATTCATTTTTAAAAGAAGATAAAGCCAGATATCAACTCGACCTTGAGTGTCTCATTGACAACCACTTTTCATATAACTGAAAAAATAATTCTGAATGACAATTTTCGTTCATTTTTCCCTGAAATAAAACCAATAAGTTAATCACTGTATCATTCGGTTCCCTCATCTGTAAAAAGAAGGGAATTTATTTAGAATGCTGCTAAGGTCCCTTACATTGCTAACATTTATGACTAAGAAATCATAAACTGTTATATAAATGTAACTTCTATGGTGTTCCTCATTAGTAATAATAATAAAGTAATTCTATAACTACATGCTCCACAAAATATACTGTATAACGGTAAGGAGTTTACCTCAGCAATTTTTTGAGAAAGAGCAACAAGGAAACTGCTATTGAAACAAACAGAAAGAAAGAAAGAAAAAGAAAGAAGAAAGAAAGAAAGAAAGAGAAAGAAAGAAAGAAATAGGAATTTACATAGTTGAGATTTGTCATTTGATTTCCCTATTTTTCACTTTAATTGTTATTCAATTAATCTAGACTTTTCAATTTCATAGAACAGTATTTTACTTTATGTAGAATTTTATTTTATCATAGTATTTTATTTTATTTAGATATTTTTCCTAGGCACTATCGAATTGCATTCCATGGAATTAAATAGAATTTTGTGACTCTCCCTTACAGTTGTGTTCCTGTGTAACCTTAGAGGCAGGCTTTAAAACTGACAGCTTCAGAGGTCCCAGAATGGGGCTTAAAGCCTTCCTCCTCTGATTATCCTCCCCTGAAAATGTCTCAGAGAAACTCAATGGTTTGAGGGATGTTATTTTATGAAGTTGTTCATCTTTCTTCCTGAAAATTAAATAGGACCTACTCACTTTCTCCAAGCTGCCTACTCATGGCATGTAGTCCAACTTTGTTTAGTGTATTCAAGTATTGACAAAGATTAAGTATATACTTGCGCCAAAACTTATGCTAGGTCCTAGAACCACAAAGAAGCATTTCAAAAATTCACTATGTAGATTCATTTATTCAGTAAGTATAATTTGAATCATAATGCATCTACACAGTAGACCTTCAATAGATATTGCTGAAAGAAAAAAATACAAATAAGAAAGAATCCTTGGTACCTGAATAGAGCATAAAGAATAGAAGAAAACTAAACACCTATCTAGAAAGTAATATAATTTTATGCTAACTCACTATTACTGTAGTATTACTTATTGACATAGCAGTTACGTTTGAGGTTGTGCTTCTATTTTCATTCCAAATCAGTTTGTGCCACAATTGCTTTACATGGTAAGTAAAAGACCAACTAAGAAAATCCATGGGGATAGCACAGCTGTCTAACAAGTTTAGTGTTAGAACAAGAACTATGCAACTGATTAGTGCTGATTTTGGTTTATTGCACTGGAAGGAGGATATAGAACCTCAAAAGGGAGACTCCAAGAACGGTCTTATCTATATGGGCAGCAAGAGAAGATAGAGCCACATGAGCAGAATCTGGCAGGAGAAAAAGCAATGAAGTGGTGAGTACCTGCCTGTAATACGATATTTTCCCTCTTATGCTTTTCTAGTTATAGCAGCAGAAAAGACCACGAACAACACAGGTGCTAAAGGAAAGAGCAGGAAAGAACCTCGAAACATAAGCTCTTGTTGTTCTTTGAAAACATTTTTTTCTTTCAGAGTGCAAGAAATTTAAGATTAAAGCTCCTGAAAGCAGCTCACTATTGATAGGGAGGGGATAGAGAGCATATCTGAGTTCTCTACATTTGCTTATTCAAAAATATGCAAACCACATTAAAATTCCAATTCATATTCAAAATCTCAGTGTAGCGTGGGAATTTTCTTTTTAAACTATCACGAAAGACTCCACAAAGTGCACAACCTTGCACAAAGGCTGTCACAACCCCACACCAAAAATACTTGTGCCAGGGCATCTGCCCAACAACTGCCTGTCCAAGTTCAGACTGGTGTCACCCTTGTTATTGACCTTTGTAGCCAAGGTCTCAAAACAATTACATTAATCCTCCTCATTTTTTTCCTTTAAAATTTTTGTCTTGCTTTACCTCTCTGAGTATAGCATGGAAATTTTTAAGAGTCTCATAACACAGTTCAATATTTCCATAAACAGATTGAAATTATTCATAACAACACTAATAACCTGATATAGTATTTTGGAGATATTAATTTCATTTCCTAAGACCACATCTTTATCCCCAGACTGATACAATCATTCTAAGCACAATTACAATCATGACGTCCAAGTACAAGATTCAGCATAACACCTCCACAGAGAAAAGTGAACAGCAAAGACCCAGAACTTTCTTACTACCACTTTGGTGACATAATGGGCCATGTAGTTTGATCAAAAATTTCAACAAAAATAATTCATTCTTTACTGGTAAAGTACTATTTTAAAAATTATGTTTAAAATTAAAAGCACTATAATGAATTATCTTATTCCAGCTAAGTAGCATAAAAAGATAAAATAACAGATTTAAAAATTTTATTTAAAAGATCAAAAGCCACATCCACAAGTTGTACTTATGGACGTTCTTGCCTTACATTTCATGAATCCGTGTCTTTATATCAACACCCCTGCATGACATCAGTACCCAGAAAATGAACAGAGTTGTAAAAGGAGAGGCTTCCTACCTGCTCACTAGAACATCCATGTATCTATTAACATTTATTATGCACCTTCTATGTGTTAGAAATTGTAATTCCTAGTTAATGAAAAAAAGATATGGCCTCCGTTTTCAAATAATTCACAGGGTTTTTTTTTTAAGGAAATGACAAGCTGACCGACTAAAATTTGAGCCAAGATAGACCTATGCACAGTCCTGGGTATGGAGGGAGGTAGGTGAAGCTGGAATCAGAAGTCTTTTTGGCAGCTGGAGCTCAGTGTTGAAGGTTAAATTCAAATTACACAAGTGGGACCAAAGAGTAGGTGATCCAGGCAGAGAGACCAGAATATGTGCCAAGACTCAGGAGTGTGAGAAACTGAAGGGGCATGAGAGAAGAGCCTTATATCCCACACTAAAGAGTGTGAGTCTTTAGCCATAGGTGATGGAGAGCCACTCTGTGGAAGTGACACAACCAGATTTGCTCTTCAGAAAGCTATCTCTGGTGGCTTGCATGGGATGCAATAAAGAAACTCAAAACTGGACACAGTGAAGGGCTAATGTAAAAATCCACACAGGCCCTGGAAATGTCTGAATTTCTTGAGAATCTCATCATTATCCCCACCACAATCATCATCATCATCATCATCATTACCACCACAATATGATAAAGCCATGCATACATTATCTCATTTGATCCACATAATAACAATAGTGCTATTATTATCCCTATTTTACAGCTGGGAAAGTGGTAATCAGCAGAGTTAAGATTGAAACCCAGGAGTTTTGGTATTTCATGCTCAGCTTTCTGTTCATCTGTGTGTCCACATCCCTTCATGTGTCCACATCCCTTCATGTGAACAGTAGTTCAGAGATTGTTTTGGTTGGGGATCTGTCACTTTCTAGATAAAAAGCATTTAGGTACTAGGCAGAGAGGAGACTGTGAGAACTTCTTTTAATTATCTGGCCACCTCAAAAATAATGTATTCTCCAACTGTATATACATAAAGAGACAAAAAAGATCAATATTCAAAAATACATAATATAAGAAAATGTTCTGTGACCAATAAATGTTCTTTGAAGACTAAAAATATCAAACTCTAACTAAAAGCCTAATATAGATTTCATCTGATAAAAAGAGTCAAAAGTAATCAGTTGTTCTCTTTCATTATGTGCCTTTGAACTACTACATTATTTTAATGTTAAAGAGTCTGTTCCTAATAGTTGCACAGTTATATGACTGCAACTTGTTTTATTTTGACTAACTCATTCTCTATGACAAGAATACTATATTCATATTATAGTACATATGTTGCATTATCAAAATATTGGCTATTGAATTTAGTACTTTATTATTTGGAAAAGATATGAAGACAGTGCTCTCTTATAAACACATTTTATTTGAAGTGACAGTTTCTGGACCCACTGGTCCAAGCAAGAACTTCATTGTTTCTGGCAAGGATCCCAGAGAAGATCTTCATAACTCAAAAACTTAAATATCACTTTTGTTTAGGATAAACCATCATAATACTGCCAAAACTGATAGAAATGCACATTACCAAAAATTAATTGTAGGAATAACAATGAATATAGTAGGTAAGAATCTATTTTCCAATTTTAAATAGACAATATTTAGAGGTTGGTTTTTACATAGAAGAGGACATTTTGCTGCACAAGAATTCTTGTCCTCTTCTATGTAAAAACTAATTTGTTTCATGTTTATTAAAGTAAAGAATTTAATGAGAACCCAAGAGCAGAGTAAATAATGCTCAGTCCTTGCTACTTTAAACAAATAAAAAAATACTGGATTAAGAAAATGTGGCACATATACACCATGGAATACTATGCAGCCATAAAAAATAATGAGTTCACGTCCTTTATAGGGACATGGATGAAGCTGGAACCCATCATTCTCAGCAAACTATCGCAAGGAAAAAAACCAAACACCAAATGTTCTCACTCATAGGTGGGAATTGAACAATGAGAACACATGGACACAGGAAGGGGAACATCACACACTGGGACCTGTTGTGGGGTGGGGGAAGTGGGGGGAGGGATAGCATTAGGAGATATACCTAATGTTAAATGATGAGTAAATGGGTGCAGCACACCAACATGGCACATGTATACATATGTAACTAATCTGCACGTTGTGCACATGTACCCTAAAACTTAAAGTATAATAAAAAAAAAACTATCAGGAAAAAAAAATACTAAAGAACAAATAAAACCAATGTACTGAAAGTCTTGAATTATAATGTTAACATAGATACTTCCTACTGCTATCACTTACCTTCTGTCAACCTCAAATTCATGTTGGTAAAATAGATTTAAATTTTGTTTGTTAAATTATTATGAAGCTAAAGGGAAACTTTGTATGCAGTGTACTGGTCTATAAGCCCTTTGAGAGCAGGGACCACGTCAGTTCATTATTTCATGCCTAGCCAAATAGTGCCTTCCACCTGGACATTATTCATTGAATATTGGTTGAATGAACAAGTAAATGGAGGAATGGATAAAATAATTAAATAGAAAGTAGAATTTAAATAATATTCTGATAAATCAGGAAAAATTGTTCATTTGTAGGAGAGGAAGGAAGATTCAAAACCCTGGGTTATTAAAATTAATTGTCCACTCTAATTGAATTCGCAGAATAACTTGACTTAAATTCACAGGTTAATTTCTCTCCAATTACAAATGCAATAATCTGCTATGGGCACAGTGCCAGCATGAACACTGGATCGCTGTGATCAGCCAGACTTAGCACTGTGTTATTTGACTTTATTTTCTTTCCCAACAGATAAGATTTATTTCTTCTCCCTGTCTAGAACTTATGTTTATGTCTGCACATCTCCATTTCCTTAAGTAACCAGTGACTTAAGGAGAATATCTCTATTTTGATCAATGCAAAATAAAATTTAATTAAAGCATGTTTAGTCCTAATTTCTGAGTAACAATTTCTTACCAATATTATAAGTTTAAAAACATTTGTAAATTAGCACAAGACATGCCTTCTAACATGTTTATTTTATTGCATTTAAACAGCTCTCTTTCTGACAAAATTCTGAAAGAAAAAATGTATAATGCTTATCTAATTCTCAAGATAATAAATTTGTGATATTTTTCCTCTTTATAATCAACATTTTTTCTCATCTTAGAAAAAAATAAAATCAATCACCAAAGGAAATAGGAATAATAATTATTAAAATATACAGAATACTACCATATAGAAACATAGATCAGGAAATGAACTAAGATCTATTTAGAATCTTAAAATTAAAGTATCATTTCCTGCCATGATTCTAGAAACTTTAAAAAATATATTTCTCTATTATCAAGTCTTGTAACTTTCATGGTCATATGGTTTTTAATTATTTCACAGCATGGCATGTTCTTAATTCTCAAGAGGCAAATAATCATGAGTTTATCTTGATTACTTTTTAAACGGCATTTATTTTGAAGAAATAAGTGAAAATAGCATATTAGTACAACATTTTATCTAAATAACATCTTGGGCATTTTCATAAACTCCAAAGACTCAAGATTTCAAGAAAAATGACATTTTACTTTTCCTCAACTATTTCTGATCATTTTCTGTAAATGTGACTCATAAAATTAATATTCATTTTCTCATTAGTGCCCTTAGTATAAAACGTTGTATTTTGGAAAATTTTAAGAGTGTAGTACAACAAGGTTTAACTTACCTTATAAGGAATTTGTTTTTGTAAACTCTTTTCAATACGACCTCACTTCTCTGGTCAAAAGCAATCCAGAGACTTCCCTCTCTTCTCTTCCTCTTCCCTGACTGCCAGTGGGTGGATGGTTTCCTCTCTGTCTGCGATAAGCACTGCAGAGGACTCTCGGAGTTTGTCCTCACTCCTGATGCCACACACCTTTTCTTGGCACTTTATCTCGTCCCAGGGGAAGATTCCTGCAGAAATTTCCTTCTCTGTAATCTCTTGACAGATGGCTCTGCTGGCAAGAACCTCAATCCTTAGGAGTGCATTAATAGGCTTTTATTCTCCCACACTGCCTTCTCACAGGTTTTATTTTTTAATTGCACATTAGTTGATACCTCATGTCCTAACAGGCCAGGGGATCATTGCACCCTTGTAATATTCCCAGCAAATCTGTTTTTCTGTTTTTTTAATTTCTATAAATTTGTGAAGCTAGTTTCTTTTTAATAGTTCATTAATTTCCTTCTTCTATTCTCAGAGGCAGTTGGGAAAAAAGGCTCAGTAATTTACTTTAAAACACAAACTGAATATTGACTTGTTCAAATACAAATAAAGTAATTTTTTATGGCTGAGAAAATTGTAAACCAGACAACCAAAATCTTTCAATTACCAGTTTTTTTGACATTACAAGTGTTCCTCTGATAAATGCTTTTGCTATGTTCTCTCTCTGTCTAGCCCCTGCTTTCTGTATCTCTCCCTCTTATTATTTTTAGGGAAATAAAATAGAAACATACTCTGAAATTAGAGGGCCAATTGTCATCTGGATGATGTTACTTAAGATGATAAAGAAAATACTCATCAAATTATCTTATCAATTTATTAATTTCATCTTAATCTTTAAATATGATGAAAATAGGGGTGATCCAAAAAAGAGACAGCAACAAAAATGCCTATAAACTTAGACAAGGAATTTCAGCCAAAATAAGGTAAAGTAAGGGGTGGCTGCAGCCATGGCTAACTGGAGCATGTGTGCCCATTTATAAAGGAAAATGTCTACTAGTCTCCAGCTAATCACTGTCTGGTGGAAATTCAAGTTCTGCATTGTAAGGCCTATCTGTTTTTCAAAAGGATCCTAATATCTGGATTTTTATATGAAATAATCTTATGCTTTTTAAATATTAGAGAACACTACAGGAGTTAATCCCAACACCTGTGGCCCAGCCTCAGCCTAAGCACTGCCACATAATGACCTCTGATCTAGAATAATATTCAAATAAAACAAACACCGTTGCTGAATCACTACCCTTCATTAATTGTGAGATCTAAGCTGTTTTCTCATAGGTGAACAGGATGGCAATAATGTAGACTAGTCAATTTTAAAAACCTATAATATCCCTTAATAAAGACCTTAGGGAAGGGTATCAACCAAAGGACGGGTAACTGATGTGGGCAAATTGTAGATCAAACGTGAATGCGAAGGGCCAGGTTTATTTAAAAATAATAATAACAAGTGATGTTATGAAGAGAGTGAGGCATTTTATCTTATCTGAATTTCTTACCCTTTACCTAGTAACAATCTTATATAGTAATTACTTTGTTCTAATTGCTAAATGCAGATTTTTAAAAATTCTCGTAATTCCATTAGTAGTAAAATGTTAGTCAACAATTTTCTAAACTAAATTTATTTATACACATACACACATTTTTATCTATCAGTACAATTTTACATGCCTATGCATTTGCATTATATATATATTTACCATTCTTTATAAAAATGATATACTGCATATATTATTTGATAGTCAATTTTTTAATTCAATATTAAATACATAATTAACTCTTTCCCATCAATAATCTTTCACAATGTGAATTTCAATGCCTACATGGTATCTCATTGTTTGGAGATAACATAATTTAACTGGCCAGTTCCCTATTACTAGGTAAATTTTCCCAATTTTTTATTCACAGTAAAGTATCTATAATTAACAACTGCTCATTGATCTTTGCGCACATCTATTATATCTTATCATATCAAAATATATCCCCATTGTTGTGCCAATTTACAGCTCTACAACTGTGATAAGCAAATTTGTTTCCCTGCATTTTCAACAAAATTGGACATAATCATTCTCTCTAATTATTTTAGGTGAAAAAATAGACTGTGTAATAATTTAAACTTTATAAAATAAGTATTGCTTTCATATATACCAGGTAAACTTTCACACATATGAGCTAGATAGTCTTTTTTTTTTTTGAGACAGAGTCTTGCTCACTGCTGCAACCTCCACCTCCTGAGCTCAAGCGATTCTCCTGCCTCAGCCTCCCAAGTAGCTGGGACTACAGACATCCACCACCACACCCAGCTAATTTTATGCATTTTTAGCAGAAACAGTGTTTCACCATGTTGTCTAGGCTGGTCTCAAACTCCTGACCTCACGTTACCCACCACCTCGGCCTCCCAAAGTGCTGGGATTCCAGGCGTGGGCCACTGCGCCTGGCCTGAATGGTAATTTTTCTTAATGTTTTTTTCTTGACTGACTGGCAGGACAGGTTTCTCTAGCAATGCCTCAGAGTCAGAAACTGTAACGGGAAGCAATGGGAACCATCCAAAGATGCCTGTGGCATGGCAGGCGAATACCTGGAAGCCTGCTAGCAGCTCTGGGCCTCTCCCTCGTTAGGTCCCTGATAAAAGGGGCTCCGATCAGACGCTTCATGCATCAGGATTGATCAAGATGGGATACAGGGGGAATTTGTCAGTCATTGAGCTCTTTTCAAGAAATAATCTTTAAAAATTACCAACTGGGGCCTACTAATAACTGGGAAGAGAAATGTGATGGTAGGACTAGTATCCATGGCTTGGCTCAGTGGTTGCCACACACAAGATCCTTTGTAACTGAAATCTCGTCTCTGAGATAACTCAGTCTCCACTCTGTGAGAAGTGATTTCTCTCGACAGACCCAGAATCCACTGCCACTGGACAGGGACCCTCCTGTGCTTCAGTTTTCCACCCACAAAATGGGAATGACAGTTGTAATTATTGGCCTCATACTTCTTATTGTAAAGAGTAAATGTAAACTGATTAGAAGATTGCCTGGCATAGATAAGACCTATATAAATCTGTGTTACTATTATCACCACTGTACTTTATATTCCTCTAGTTTCACAAATCTGACTAAATAATTTATATCTTTATAAATTATATATATTACATAATAATTTATATCTTTCATGTATCTTCAAAAGATGAATTCCATGGGACCAACATTTGTTTTCCTAGGAAATATTAGGCCCTGAATAAATATTTCTTTGATGCTGTATGGATAAATAGATGGAAAAACAAATGAATACATTTTTAACCAAACCAGCAGGCTGAATCTCTTCCTGGCCTGGTTCTTCTTTCTCATTTTTAGCCCCAGTTCTTCTTTCTAGTTTCTAGCCTATTTTCCCTCTCAGTTTGGTTTGGACAGTCTTTCATAAACATATGCACTCCAGTTAAATTAAAACCAACAAAGCTTACACCTAAAGTCAATAGAAATATATTGAACCACAACCATAAACAAGGCACTCATTGTCTTAGAGCTGTTTGCCTCATAGAAGGCATATTTGTCACAGAGGACCTATAGCATGATAACTAATACTTTAACTAGAAAAGGCAAAATTGGTCTTTTCAGCTTAAGGGGAATATTTTTTGTTTTGTGTGAAAGAACATGATTTATCTTTTGAATAAGGGCATCATCAAAACGTGATGATTAGGCACTAACACTACTGTCTTGTAAAACAGGTATCAGTAGGAAGGTAGAACCATATGACCTAGACAATTTAGCTGTTGTACATCAGAGACCTGTGGAAATGCCAAAGGCTAAAAGAAATCTAGTGTGTGATTCAGGTAATTTCAGAGCAGTTTTTAAGGTTTAAGAAGAAATTACTCTTTCTTGTTTGTTTGTTTATTTAGTTAGTTTGGGTAAGGATGGTTTATGCCACATATTAATAGTTCTGTTCCTGGTAGTCTAGTGACTAAGATAAAAATAAAATTTAAAAAAAGTAAAAAAAAGTTCTGACTTTTTTTTGATGGTGATGAATTGATAAATGTGAAAAACAACTAATTCTGCCATTGTTCTGAAAATGACAAATACTATCTTAGCAATGCACTTTCAAAAAGTTCAACCCATTCTTAAAGTGAAATAAACATTGAAAATTCTGTCTTCCATATGAGACAGAGGGAAGAGTTTAGGATAACTACACCTTCATTGCAGAAAGACTATAGTGATGCTTCAGAAAATAATTGGATGCTAAGCATATAGAGAAAAAGTATTTTATTTTATATAATTATTATTTGCCTTTGTATGCAAATAAAAAAAAGTTTATCCAGATAGTCTTTAAACACTGTTGGAAACTCGTGGAAAGAAATGAATAAGTAGTTCTCAGGAATGGATTATATGCCCAGAAGTTTGTCATGTGGTACGTTTTCCTGCATGACCTGAAACGTAAGTTGATTTTTATTCAATTATCTATTAAATATCAGGCAAAAGAAGTCTTCTTATTGGTATTTAAATAGAATTAGAGAATGCTAGATCTTGAAGGGAACGTAGAACTCATCTGATCCAATCCCCTCACTTTTACTGATAAAGGATGGTGAAAATGAAGTTATTAAGCAATTGCCCAAAATTGCAGTTAATAACTGGTGTGGCCAAAACTCAACCTCAAGTTCAGTGCATTTTGAAATAAATATATATATATATATATATTTAATTTTATTTCTATAGACAGTGGTAGGCTCTGATTCCCATAGAGTTGAGAAGCTCAATTAATAAAAATCTAAACTTGACCTGCACACAGGATTTCACTAGGAACCACTGTAGAAAATCACATGCCATCCCCATAGTGTCTGCGGGCCAATCTAACACAATGTATAAATTGGAAGGGACTGCTGCATTTGAACTGAACATAAATCAACAATGAGCACACTCTCACCCAAGACTAAAATGTAGCCACTTATTAAAGTATTAAGATAATTCCACACTAGCTCAAGGGCCTTAAGTGCACCGTCTGTTCCCCACTGCTAAGACCCCAGCCTCCCAATAATTCAGCAAACAAGGTGGGAAGTACTGGCATGACAAAGGTTTCCAACTCCTGCTCTAAGACTGGCTTCCATTCTGATTGTTGGTGCTTATAATTGTTAAATACGTTAATATTATCCCTGGACCCATCCCATCCCTTTCCCTTCTGTAAATGTTGAAGAGCAGCATTGAAGTACCCTGATACATCCCTATTTATCTAAAGATAAGCTAGGCATGATGAATAAGATTTGTTCAATTACTTAGGAAGAACCTGATATTTAATTATTCAGTGTTCCATTGAAAAGTCAGCTAAGATGCTATGCTGAAAAAGCCTACTGTAATTTTTGAAAGATTAAGGCACTTCCAGTTAGAAATAGCACTGAAGTCCAGATAGTGTAAGGTTTCCACAGCAGATCACTTTCTCATGGGCACAATTTTGTACCCTTAGGTAGTAATATCAACAAAAATTGCTGCTGCTTCAAACCAAGAGCACAGTGGACAAGTTAGAGTCTTCAAAACTAAGCAGGAGTACAACTCCTAGCTTCACAATTGCCCCTGAACTCTGTAAAAATTTAGCCCATTACATTGAAGAAACATGTAGTTTAATAAGTGTCAAAACTTATAGGGAAAAGTAGCCTTTGAACCCCTTCCTCCTGAAAAAGAAAAAAAGGAAAGATAACAGTTGAACCAAGTCAGTGGTGAAGATTAAATAGAAACAGGAAATTAGAACTATGAGAAAATATTACATAAAAGGCAAACAAGCACAGAACAAATAAAATAATGCATAACAGGAAGGGATCCAAACCAATACAAACAACTGCAAAGGATCTTCTTGGCAGACTTTCACACACAGAATTTGAGGAGGACAGAAACATTTAATTGTTGAGTAATACTTCTTAAATGATGTTTTACCTCAAGAAAATCGTATCAGTAAAGAATGTGAAAACGGTTGGGCAGCTGCGTCCACCCCTTCTAACCAAAGCCCAGCTGCAGGAAGAAAAGCCAGAAACAAGAGAGGAGACAAAGAATAATGAATGAGAGGATGAAATCCAGAAAAAAGAGAGAAATTATAATGAGACAGTGAAAAATTAAGCTGCAACTCAGAAAGATAGGCCAGAAAAAAAAGCTTTAAACAAACTGTAGTAAATGTAATTTAGAATGTTTTTAAACTCAACTATTGAAAACAAGTCTTTCTGAAACTAATTTGTAAGACTGGCAGATCCTTGAAACTCTTGTCCCAGTGGTGGAATGACTGAAAGACAGCACTATGCACTCACCATGTGGGCTCTCTGTGCTGCCAAGAGCTGTTTATAAAGTGGACTTAACTGAAAAATGGGTGAATATTTGACTAGTGGTTTTCTCTCTGATGTCTGACAAAGACAAAGTACAAAGGCTTGATACTCCTCTGATAAAGCAAAAAGGGAAATTTATTATTTGTATTTAGCAAAGCATATAGGGGAACTTTGTATTCAAATTATGATAGTGACCTAGGTCTTAAAATTTTACAGTAAACAAATGTAGACTATGAGAGAAAATTCTGCTCAGTGTATGGGCTCAGCTATGAGACCACTTATATTTAAAACCCATTCTAACACTTGCTAGCTTTGTGCCTTGAGAGGGTCCCTTTGAATTTCAGATTACTCATAAATAAAATGAGAATCATAATGATGTCTAACTCAGGATTATTGAGAAGATTAAATTAGCTCACCTATGTAAAATCCTTAGTAAAGTGCTTGCCAAGTGACCAGTAAATGATAGCTCTTCTTATTCTGTGTATATTGAATATCCTCTCTGGCACTATTCCAGAAAGATCTACCTCAGTTTGTTTAATATTTAGTGCTTTGTTAATACATATAATGTGTTTAATAAATCAATAACTATTAGATAAGCTAAGATCATGTCTACAATCAGTCAATAAATAAATGTACGTCGAGTACTTTCCTTGGGCTAAGAGTACAATGGAAATTGAACAGTAAATATATGGACCCTACCCAAAAAGTGCTTATTAACTGAATTAATTTGTGACCAATTTCAGAGAGTAAAACTTTATGTTAAAGTAGGTAGTACAAAAATCTATAAGAGGCCCTGTGCGGTGGCTTACGCCTATAATCCTAGGCACAGAGGCCAAGGCGGGTGGATCACCTGAGGTCAGGTGTTTGAGACCAGGCTGGCCAACATAGTGAAACCCTGCCTCTACTAAAAATACAAAAATTAGCCAGGCCTGGTGCCGGGCACCTTTAGTCCCAGCTACTCAGGAGGCTAAGGCAGGAGAATTGCTTGAACAGGGGAGGTGAAAGTTGCAGTAAGCCGAGATCACACCGCTGCACTCCAGCCTGTGCGACGGAGTAAGATCCTGTCTCAATAAAACAACAACAACAACAAAACTATTAGAGTGCAGGGTAAATCAGTGAGAATGAGATGATCAGAGAAGGCTTAAGGGAGGAGGTAGAAAATAAAGGACACCTTGGAGGATGTGTATGATTACGACAGACGTCAAGCAATGAGACATACTTTCTATTAAAGGAAATGATGCTAGCAGGATTATGGGTGAATGCAGAGTATATTTGACATTGGCTTGACTAATATGAATGGAGTTTTAAAAATATTTTTATTGATACATTATATTTATACATAATTATTGGGTACATGTGGTATTTTGTTACATTCTTGAACTGTGTAATGATCAAGGCAGGGTGTTGGTGTGTCCATCACCTCAAGTATTTATCATTCCTGTGTTGGGAACATTTCAAGTCCTCTCATCTAACTATTTTGATATTTACAATACATTATGGTTAACTACAGTCACCCTACTTTGCTATGGAACATTAGAGCTTATTTCTTCTATCTACCTGCATTTGTACTCATTAACTAAACTCTCTTTATCCTCCTTCCACCCCCCCCCGCCCCACACACACACACACTCTTCCCAGCCTCTGGTATCTATCATTCTATTCTCTTCGTTTATGAGATTAAGTTTTTAAGCTCCCACATATGAGTGAGAACATGCAATATTTGTTTTTCTGTTCCTGGCTTATTTCACTGAACATAATGACGTCCATTTCCATCCATGTTGCTGCAAATGACATAATCCCATTTTTCTTTACACCTGAATAGTATTCCATTGTGCATGTAAACCACATTTTCTCTATCCTGACGTCTGCTGATAGAGATTTCGGTGGATTTCACATCTTTCTTATTGTGAATAGTGGTGTGATAAACACACAAATGCAGATATTCCTTTGATTTACTGATTTCCTTTGGATAAATACCCAGTAGTGAGATTACTGGACCATGTGGTATTTCTTTTAGTTTTATGAGAAATTTTCATATTGTTTTCTATATTGGCTAAACTAGTTTGCTTTCCCACCAACAGTGCATGAGTTACCTGTTTTCCACATTCTTGCCAGCATCTGTTTTTTTTTTCTTTTCAATAGTAGCCACTTCAACTGAGGTATAATGATATCTCATTTTGGTTTTGATTTGCATTTCCCTAATGATTAGTGATGTTAAGCATTTTGTCATATATCTGTTGGCCATTTGTGTGTCTTCTTTGGATACATATCTGTTTGTGTCCTTTGCCCACTTTCTAATGGGAAATTTTCACTGTTTCATTGTTTGAGTTCCTCATATATTTTAAATATTAGTCCCCTGTCAGATGAATAGTTTGCAAATATTTTCTCTCAATCAACAGGTTGTCTCTTTACTCTATTGATTGTTTTCTGTGATGGGAGAAGCTCTTTAGTTTAATATTATCCCATTCATCTATTTTTGTTTTTGTTGCCTGTGCTTTCAAGATCGTAACCATAAAATCCTTGCCTAGACCAATGTCCTGAAGTGTTTCCCCTATGTTTTATTCTAGTAGTTTTATAGTTTCTGGTCTTACATTTAAGTCTTTAATCCATCTTACATTGATTTTTGTGTATGGTGAGAAATAAGGCTCCAGTTTCCTTCTTCTGCATATGGATATCTAATTTTCCCAACCAGTATTTATTTATTGTCCTTTTCCCAATGTATGTTCTTGGTGCCTTTGTTGAAGATCAGTTGGCTGTAAATACATGAATTTATTTCTGGGTTCTCTATTCTATTCCACTGGTTTTTGTGTCTGTTTTTATACCAATACCATGCTGTTTTGATTACTATAGCTTTTTAATATATTTTCAAGTCAGATAGTGTAATGCCTCCAGCTTTTTTTCTTTTTGTTCAGGATTGCTTTAGATATTCAAGCTCATTTTTCTTCTATATAAATTTTAGGATTGGTATTTTGATAGAGATTGCATTGAGTCTGTAGATTGCTTTGGGCAGTATGGTCATTTTAACAATATTAATGTTTCCAATCCATGGGCATGAGATATCTTTTTATTTGTTTGTGTTGCCTTTGATTTCTTTCATCAGTGTTTTATAGTTTTTCTTATAAAGGTCATTTACCTTCTTGGTTACATTTATTTCTAGGTATTTTAATTTTTTGTAGCTATTGTAAATGGGATTGCCTTCTTGAGTTCTTTTTCAGCTAGTTCATTATTGGTGTATCAAAATGCTATTTGTTTTTGTATGGTAATTTTGTATCTTGCAACTTTACTGAATTTACTTATCAGATCTAAAAATTTTTTTTTTGCTGGAGTCTTCAGGCTTTTCTAGATATTAAAACATGTCATCTACAAAGAGAAACAATTTGACTTCTTCCTTTCCAATTTGGATGCCTTTTATTTCTTTCTCTTTCCTAATTGCTCTGGCTAGGACTTCCAGGACTATGTTCAATGGGACTGATGAAAGTCAGAATCCTTGCCTTGTTCCAGTTCTTACAGGTAGGTTTTCAGCTTTTCCCCCATTTAATATAATTTTAGCTGGGCTTTGTTATATATGGTCTTTATTGTGTTGAAGTACATACCTACTATACTTAATTTCTAGGGAGTTTTATCATGAAAGAATATTAAATTTTAGCAAATGCTTTTCCTGTGTCTATTTAGATGATTATTTGACTTTTGTCCCTCATTCTGTTGACATAATGTATCACATTTATTTATTTGAGTATGTGGAACTACTCTTGCATTCCTGAGATAAATTTCATTTGGTCATGATGTATTATCTTTTTGATTAGCTGTTGGATTCAGTTTTGTGTTTTATTGAGAATTTTTGCATCTTTGTTCATTAGGGATATTGACCCATAGTTCTTTTTTGTTGTGTCCTTGTCTGTTCTTGGTGTCAGGGTAATCCTGGCCTCATAGACCCAGCTAGAGGGTATTCCCTCCAAATTTTCAGAATAATTTTAGAATTGTTGTTAGTTCTACTTTGAATGTTTGGTAGAATACAGCAATGAAGCCATCAGTCTTGGACTTTTCTTTACTAATAGACTTTTTATTAGTGAATCAATCTCATTGCTTGTTACTGTCTGTTAATGTTTTCTATTTTTTCCTGACCCAATCTTGGTAGACTGTATGTGTCCAGCAATGTATCCATTTTATCTAGGTTTCCCAGTATGTAATAGTCTCTGATGATCTTTTGTCTTTTTGTAGTATCAGTTGAAATGTCACCTTTTTCATTTTTGATTTTATTTCTTTTAGTCATCTCTCTTTATATCTTGATTAGCCTAGCTACCAATTTACTGATTTTGTTTATATTTTCAAAAAACCAACTTTTCATTGAATTGATCCTTTGTATTTTTTGTTTTAGTCTCTATTTCATTTAGTTCTGCTCCTATCTTTATTATTTCTTTCCTTCTACTAGTTTTGAGTTTGGTTCATTCTTGCTCTTCTGATTCCTTGAGGTACATTGTTAGGCTGTCTATTTGGAATCTTTCTTCTTTGATGTAGGCATTTATTGCTGTAAACTTCCCTCTTAACACTACTTTTGCTATATCTCATAGGTTTTGGAATGTCGTGTTTCAATTCTTATTTGTTTCAAGAAAATTTTTAATTTCCTCCTTAATTCCTTCTTTGACCCAAAGGTCATTAAGGAGCACGTTGTTTAATTTCCATGTATTTTGTACAGTTTCTCAAATTCTTGTTATTGACTTCTTGTTTTATTCTACTGTCGTCTGAGAAGATACTTGATGTGATTTCAACTTTTTAAAAAATTTTAAGACTTGTTTCATGCCTAACATATGGGTCTATATGGGATAATGTTCAATGTGCTTGTATTAGTTCATTTTCATACTGCTATAAAGAACTACCTGAGACTGGCTAATCTATGAAGAAAATAGGTTTAATTGATTCGCAGTTCTGCAGGTTTAACAGGAAGCATGACTGGGAGGCCTCAGTTAGCTTACAATTATGGCAGGAGGTGAAGGGGAAGCAAGCACCTTCTTCACATGGTGACAGGAGAGAAAGAGAGAGAGATACCAAGGAGGGAAGTGCCACAAACTTTCAAACCATCAGATCTCATGAGAACTCACCCTATCATAAGAATAGCATGAGGAAAGTCAGCCCCCATGATCCAATAATCTCTCACCTCGTTCCTCCCCCCAACAATGTGAATTACAATTCAATATGAGATTTAGGTGGGGACACAGAGCCAAACCATATCAGTGCTAAGGAGAAGAATGTATATTTTGAAGCTATTGGGTGAAATATTCTGTAAATGTCTGTAAGTCCATTTGGTATAAAGTGCAGTTTAAATCCAGTGTTTCCTTGTTAATTTTCTGTCTAGATGGTCTGTCTAATGTTGAGAGTGGGGTGTTAAATTCCCCAAATATTATTGTATTGGAGTCTATCTCTCCTTTTAGGTCAATAATATTTGCTTATATATTGGACTGCTCCAGTGTTGGGTACGTATATGTTTAGATTGTTATATCATTTTATTGAATTTATTCCTTTATCATTATACAATGACTTTTTGTCTTTCTTTTTTTCTAATGTTTTTGAATTAAAGTCTGTTTTACCTGAGTATAGCTACTCCTGCCCCCTTTTGTTTTGTGCTTGCATTGAATAATTTTTTCCATCTCTTTACTTTCAGTCTATGTGTGTCTTTACATATAAGATGAGTTTCTTGAAGACAATATATAGTGGGGTTATGGTTTTTATTTTTTAATCCATTCAGCCAGTCTATATCTTTTAAGTGGAAAGTTTTATCCATTTACATTCAGGGTTATTATTGATATGTGAGGGCTTATTCTTATTGTTTTATTAATTAATTTCTGGTTGTTTTGTGTATCCTTTGTTCTTTTCTTCCTACCTTATTTTTATCACTGTGGTGTGGTGGTTTTCTGTAGTGGTAACACTTTAGTCCTTTCTCATCCTTATTTGTGTGTTTGCTGTACCAGTGGGTTTTATACTTTCATGAATTTTGATGATGGTAGATGCCAACATTTTGATTCCAGATGTAGGACTCCCTTAAGTATTTTTTATAGGGCTGGTCTAGTGGTAATGAATTCTCTCAGCTTTTGCTTGTCTGGGAAAAACTATTTCTCCCTCATTTATGAATGGCAACTTTGCTGGGTATAGTATCTTTGGCTGTCAAGTTTTTTCTTTCCACACTTTAAATATATCATCCTATTCTCTCTGGGCTTGTAAGGTTTCTACTGAGAAATTTGCTACTAGTCCAATGGGGGTTCCCTTATAAGTAACTATATACTTTTCTCTTGCTGTTTTTAGAATTCTCTTTTTTTTGACATTTGACAGTTTTACCATAATGTGCCATGGAGAAGATATTTTTGAATTGCATGTTTTTAGGTATCTTTGATCTTTCTGTATCTGGATGTCTAAATCTCCTGCTAGTCTTGGGAAATTTGTAGCTATCATTTTATTAAATAGGATTTCTATCTTTTTTGTTTTTTCTATGTGTTCTGGGACACCTGAAAATTTGAATATTGGGTCACTTTATTGTGTTCCATAGTTATGTAGGCCTTGCTCATTCTTTTCAATTCTTTTTTATTTATTTGTGTTTGACTGGGTTATTTCAAAATACCTTTTTTCAAGTTATGAAATTCTTTCTTCCATTTAATCTAGTCTATTATTGAAGTCTTCTAATGTATTTTGTATTTCACAAAATGAATTCTTCAGTTCCAGAATTTCTGTTTGGTTCTTTTGTGTGGCATCTCTTTGATAAATTTTTCATTCATATCCTGAATTATTTTTTTGATTTTTTTATTTTATTTTTTTCTCTATTCTCTTGCATCTCACTGAGATTTTTTGGAATTATTTTGAATTATTTTCCCCAGGTTTTATAAATGTGTTTTTGATTGTAGTCTGCTATTAAATTATTGTATTCCTTTGGAGGTGTCATATTTTCTTGCTCTTTTATGTTTCTTGTGTCTTTAAATCAATATTTGTGCATCCGGTATAACAGTTGTCTCTTCCAATTTTTTGAATTTGCTTTTGTAGGAGAGAAGTTTTCCCTGAAGATATATCTGTGGTGTTGTTTGAGTAGGGTACATTTGCTTTGATTCTAAGCCCATGCAGTAGTGTAGTCTCCATATGATTTCTTCAGCTATAAACAGTGTCAGTGATTTCCTCAGTGGCTTAGGGTGTGGTTGTTAGTGAGGCTATGTGAAGTTTATCTGAGCATGTGGATGTCAGGTGGGTTTGTCCTTGTGCTCCAGTCATGGCAGCAGCAGGCCAAGCATACTTGTCCTTGGGCCCTAGTGTAGCATATGCTGTAACCAGTGTTAGCAGGACTAGGTGACCTGATTCTTGAGCTTAGGTGGTAGTAGTAGCAGCGATGGGCCAGGCAGGTGAGTGAATTCTCTGGTTCCCAAGCAGTCTGCACTGATGTTGACAGTGGCTGCAATGAGCTGAGTGGGCTAATCCCCTGGCCTGCAGGTGGCACACATGCAGATGGATGCCAGCTGTGGTAGTAGAGGTAGGTTGGGTGGGACCAATCTCAGGCCCCCAGGAGATGTACGCAAGCACTAGTGATGGCGAAGTGGCCTACGTGGTCCCCATGTCCCCAGATGGCATGCTCAGGCACTGGGGAGACAGAGTCAGGTTAGGTGGACCTGTCCTCAGACCCCCTAGTTGTGCATGCAGGTATTGGCTATGGTAGGCAGGGACACAGTGATCTCCACACCACCAGCAGAATAATCCAGTGGGAGTGGCAGAAGCTACACTGAAGCCCTGCTACTGGGGAGGGTGACATTGCTTTTAGTGGCAGCAGTACATTTAGGTGGCTGGGGAGTTCATCCTTCTCTCATGCTTTGGCCCTGGTGGTGGCAGCCAGCAGCATGATGGCTGTGGGTTGGGAAGTTTGTTCTTAGGGCACATAAAAATTCATGGTGGCTCTGCTTCTGGGGGGGAGCAGCGCCCTTACCAATGGCTCACACTTCAGCGTTGGCATCAGCAGTCAGCTATAGTGGTGGCCATGGGCAAGGAATGTTAATAAGGCTTCAGGGTTGTGGAGATGAAAGTGCTGTTGGGTCTCTGGGAAGAATGTGTTCTGGTAGGGGCTGGGATCTCAATGTGGTATCTTACTGTAGCTGAGTAGGACTCAGGGGGCTGGGAGGTACGTGGGACATGGTGTGAGCTTCCTCCTAAGAGCAGTGCCTTCACACAGTATTCAGGCATATTCCTATGTTAGTCTCTAACATTCTAAGTGTGATTATCTACTTACTTACTATTATCTACTTACTTACTATTCTTACTATTCTGGTTATTCTTTGGGGATGAGCTAAGTACCAGATGCCTCCAGTCAGCCATCTTGAGCCCCTTTCTTTATAATAAGAGCTGCTATGACAAGATGCATTGAAAGCAATATTCCCTTAGCTCCCAACTTGCTCAACCCAAAAGAGTAATGCATGTAGTTCTGAAGCTGTGAAGTCAAAGATTAAGATGTTGGCATCTTAATCTTGTCTCATGACATCATAGAAATGCCTTCTTGTTGTCTCATTACATGGTAGAAAGTACAAGAACAACAACCTGTGATTGATGTCTTTTGGAGAAAAAAAATAGACAATGGTATTCTTTTGTAGAGTTGGGGTAGGCAGTGGAAGACTTATGAGCCAGAGGAGATTTTGCTTCAAATACTATGATATAAGGATTGTGTATTATTAAATGAGGTGATGTAAACAGTGTTTTATAAAGATTGGCCTTATTAAGGCATCCAGGCAGATCAAAATCAGAAGAGAGTAGAATAAGTAGACTTGGAAGATACTGTAGTTATCTATATGTGAAATTATGACATACTAACTTAGGATGCAAAAGAGAAATGGAGGCTTCACTGTGAGTGAAACAGGAGTCACTAGAGAATTTTGAGCAGACAAGTTATAGGATCTGACTTATCTTTTAATAGGTCACTCTGACTGCTCAGTTGAGAATAAATGCAGAGGGTCAATGGGGGATCAGGAATACTTGGTAGGATATTATTTAAATAGTTCAAAGAGAAATGATGGTGGCTTTGGGCCCCATGATATTGGAAAAGGTGAAAAGCAGTTGGAATGAGTGTATTGTATACAGGTTTTTATAGAAAGGTGTCCTAGGCAGTTGCAGAGGGCTCTGCACTTAGTTTAATGCTCTGCTGTCACAGTCTTGAAATTCTTAGTGATTTTTGAATAGATAATCCTACATTTTTATTTTGCATAAGACCCCACAAATTATGTAGGCAGTTTTGATTGTGAATGTAGATATGACAGGATTTGCTGATATATTGGAGGTGGGATTATGTGAGAGAAAAGAGAGGAGTCAATGATTGCTCCAAAATGTTTGCCCTGATCACTTGGAAGAATAGGTTTACTAAGATGGAAAAGAATGGAAGACACAAAATTATGGAAGAAGGATCAGAAGCTTGATTTTGGATCTATAAAGTGTGGGATGTCTAGAGCATCCAAATAGAGATGTCTGGAGTTTGAAGGAGCATTTCAGGTTGGAGATGTAAGTTTGGAGTTTTCAACATTTGAATGGTAATTGGAGCCATAAAACTGAAAGAAAAAAAATCCACATATGACGTGTAAATTATAAAAGAGAAGTCTAAACACTGAGCCTACCTCCAAACTATAGGTGTCAGGTGATACACACCAGCTTAGGTGACTGTGCAGGATCAACCAGAAAGATACCAGGACATTCTAGAGAAAGAAATCATATCAAGTTTCAGATGAGAGTAAAATGAGTCAGGATTTGACAACTGAATTAACAACATGGAGGTCTTACCTGATAGCTGTTTTCTTGGAGGAGTAGAGGCAAAAGCCTCATTAGGTTGGATTAAAGAGAAAGCGGCAAGAAAGTTTGAAAACAAAAAGGATGAATAACTCTGAGGAATGTTGCTTAAAGGAATGGAAGACAAAGGGGTGAAAGGAAAAGTGAAGGTTGGTACCGCAGTGAAGCTAGCTGGTTTGGGGTCAAAAAATGAAATGTGATTTTTAGATTACCAGTTTGATTTTAGGCACATGGACCTCAAGATTGTGATGAGCTATTTAAAAGGAAATGTCCAGTAGACATCTAGAAAGATGAGAATTGATATTGTCTGAGAAGATAAAATTGAAATTATCCGTGGTTTAGACTTTATTCACACAAAGGCGCTATTTGGAGCTGTAAAAATAAATTAACCTGGAATAAAAGTGTAAAAAGAACAATAGAAGATTGAACAAACCAATGTTCTGAGTAAGGTAATAAAACAAAATGAAAAGCACTGGCCTATATTCCCAAACTTAACGCCATTTAGGCATAGCTGAATTTCCATTGGCAAATTAAGGTAATTATCTGAATAATTAAATATCCACACAAAAGCTTTAGTATAAATTAGCTAGATCTTTTATACAAAAAGAGTCTCTATTATATATGAAAAACTCTATTATTGGATTCATTTTGTCAGCTTTTCTCAGTTGACTGACACAGACTGGCTACAAGTGATTTACCTTCTTTAAAAGAGGCTATTTAAAAATAAAACAAACTAGAAATCACTACCTGCTAACTGACCTCTGGGACGTTATCTTGATTTGGATTTTTTTATCTCTAAAATTGGGATTTTTAGCATAAGGTGAAGGAGCAAACAAGACAACATAATTTGGGCTAAAGCATCCTCTTTGTTTATGCAAGTATCAATGAAGGAAACTGACCAGCGATGATTGCCTTTTACCAAGGATCTGGCAAAATCTGCAGTTCTTGCCTAATGGGCTTTGTAAATTTTAAAACAAAATCAAAGGGGTAATAGCTTTCTTAGCAAAAACCTGCCACACACATATACACAGAAGAAAAAAGGAAGGCCAGTCCAACAGCCCTAGAAGTGAAGTAAAATCTGGGCCTCTTTGATTGCAGAAGAATAGTCAATCACGTTAGTCACTGAAAGGACGCTGAAGACAGCAGGCTAACACCTTAGTAGGCGCACACTGCTTAGAGCAAATAGAACAGTTCAGATTTGGGGCATTGGATGTTCATGTTTTCCTTTGTTTTCAAAGATGATCACGCTGACAATGATTATTGTCTAAGGATCATAATCTAAGAAGCATTATATAGAAACATAAGAAATGTCACATTGGAACTGACAAATGAGCCTTATTACAGCTCTGACAGTGGCACCAAGGGACATTTTGTGGCACAGCGTGAAAGTTACTCTGGCAACCAACAGAATATTACTACTTTTTCACCTCAAAATTCTCCCCCCGCTTTTTGAGGCGCTTCAGTAAAGAGCTCAAGAAGAGGACCTGGGAAGCCAGCCAGAAGAATGTACTTGGCGTATCCCTGCTTCCTCTGTGCCTGGGGAGGTAGGGATGATAACAGCTTCACTTGTGGGGTGGAGGGTGGCAGGAAATCTTTACAGGAGAAACCAACACATCAATGTTCTTCGAGGCACACAGGCAGTGTTCTCTAAAATGTCATCATCTAAGCATAGGTGGTATTTATTGTTTTTTTGGATATGCAAGAAGATTTCTCAAACTCATATTTCTCATTATCTCTCTAACCTTGGCCTGTGCATTCACCACATGCGCACCCAGCTTTTCTCAGAGTTCCTCACCTGGGCCACAGAACTCAGAAAAAAATAATTCAGGTGACAAAATTGCACCATTTTAGAAGCAAAAGAGACAAGTTCATTTACTTCATGCAATGGATGCTTTAGGGTTTAGTGCTCCTGAGGAAAGCTGGCTGGACTGTGATTGGGGGTGAGGGGGAATCCCAGCAGATTTAATCACAAATGTCAGGAAACAGCAACTTTCTTTCCACTGTGTCAAGTTGGAATGATGTAAACCTGGAACCGGTGGTGAGTGTGTTCCTTACCTACATGGAGGGTGTCTCTCTGCATAGGAGGGAAGGAGACCACTTTACAAGAAGCAGAGAAGAACAAGTGAGAGAAGGGGAGCTAGAGCCAGAGCAAGAGAGCTAGAGCAGCCTGACAACATTGTTTGAGTCTCTAGGTCCACAGAAGCCAAATGCAATCCCACACTGAGTTCACTGGTTACATGAGCCCGTGGATTTTATTTTTCCTAAGACTACTTTGCATTGGTTTCTATCACATGCAAATGAAGACTCCAGAATAATATCATAGAAATGTATTGTTGCAATAAACCAACATATAGGAAAAAATTTAACCTTTAAATTCTGAAATCATCAGATTAAAACAACAAAGATGTGCTTTCTTCCTCTTGCCCTAATTTCCTTTTATTAATAGTAATAGCTATAACATTTTATGTACCTACTATGTATACGCTCTCTGCTAGGCTCTACACAATAACAAGCCTGTGGCAATTCTATAAAGTTAGAATTACATCTATTAGAGTGAACTAAGGTTCAGAGAGATTATGTAGTTTGTATAAAATTACAACTCTAACAAATTCTAATCAGAGATGAGATTTTTGTCTTAGCTTTATCATAACCATTAAATTATAGAACTCAGCCAATAGGTATTAAAAATAAGTATATGTATCATGGTAGCTATCAGTCTTCTATCTGCCACTGGGTCCTTTCATATGTACATGGAATTCTAGACATCCAATGCCAAACTCATCTCAGTCCCCTCCCCCACCAAATCTGCCCCAACAACCCCTCACTTATTCTGAATCTTAAGGGAAATGAAGGTATCTACTCAGTGTTTGAGCCAGAATCCTAGAAGTCAGTCTCATTCCTCTTTTTTATTTTTTGAAGAGTAAAGCAGTGTTTTTTTTTAAAACTTCTTATTTATTCATTTATTTTTGTTTTATTTTTAATTTATAAATAATAGTTATACATACTTATGGGGTACAATGTGATGTTTTGAAATAGGTGTACATTGTGAAATTATTCTATTAAGCTAATTAACATGTTCATCACTTCACATGCTTATCATTTTTATAGTCAAAACATTTAAAATCTATTTGCAATTTTGAAATATACAATACTTTATCATTAATGTTTCCTCACTCTTAACTTCCACAGTTAACCCTTGAATCTATCAATTCCACCTTGCCAAAAAGTTCACATCTACCCTGTTTTGACAGTCATCAGCACACAACTGGGTTACTCAGATCAGACTTCCTTCCTGGTCTCTCGAAATCTAATTTTCCCCACCCAATTCCAACCCTTACCTTCAACTTACCTTTCATTCTACTATTAGAGAGCTCTTTCTAGTGTGCAAATCTGATCTCCCCCAAACACTTCAGAGGCTTCTAATGACAACAGACTCCATGACATACTAAAAACCTTATGAAGGGGCCCTGCCTATCTATCCAAATTCATTTCTAATCATTTCCCCTTCATGCTTTAAGCTCCAGACGCACTGAACTCATTTCCTACATACCCCATGCTCTCTTATGCCTTCCGCACTTTTGAAATTCGGTTCCTTCTGCCTAGAATGAAAATTTAGGAGAAAACTCCTCAGGTCTCAACTGAAATGCTACCCCTGAAAAGCCTTCCATGTCACTGCTCTCTACTATAAGCCTTCTAGTGTGCCCCCAATCAATCTTGTCTGGTCAGTAAGGAGTGACCTCTTTGAAGTCAGGAGATATGCCTTTTCTTCTTGGTTTTCTAGAACCCATCTCAATATCAGGCACTTTTATAATATTTTGGGGATAAGATTTTGAAAACATTAAATCCGTACTTTTTCTCTTACTAACAGCAAGCCAGAATGCTTAAAGAAGGGGATTTCAAACAAAGTAATGGGAGAAAAAAGTAACATGGCAGAGGCAAGTTCCCACCTAACTGGAAGACAAAAGAGAAAATTACTTTCATTCTAGAGAGAGAAGAAAGAACCTGAGATCAGGACTAAAAGCCAGGCTCTTCACTAAAGGTCAAAATTCAGAGTGGAGGATTATAAAACTATCTAGATATAGTGAGAGGAAGGTAACTATCATGACACTATGGAAGCCACAGATAGACTGAAGACATCTGCGAACATTCAGGGTAGGGATTGTCCTCTCTTTAGTGTCCCATCAGAAGCAGGGATATCAACTCTTTATACTGAAATGCATCATCTTTATAGACTAACTGTATCAGATTAAGATCCCTAAAGCAACCAAAATGTAAGAGAATTTGGGAGATGGACTTTAGGGGAACGCTTTTGGCTCTTTTAATAAAACACATAATGTAAGAGAACAGAGAGGTAAAACCATAGCATGTGGGGAAATTTTAAGTTGAAAAATTCCAGTCACCACATTTAGCCATGATACATGTTTGGATACTGGTGATCAAACTGACATTTTAAAAAGGTTTGCTTTGTAATGGCTACCAGAAATCCCAAGAACACTTGGCTTATATTTATAATTATCATGCAGCACTTTCCTACTAAATTATCAATATAACTAAAAATAATTGAGAAAAGTTAATTACATTTATTGTAAAATATTTATGACTTATTTTCAGATCTCCCTATTTTTAATGTCAGCTGATCTAAACAAACACTCCTAATTCCCCCTCAAATGATGCCAGTTTAAAACTAAACTAGAATATTTGTTTTAAATGATCAAAAATGATTTCTGTAGAATTGGAATGTGTCTTGTTAATATAGAAAAGGTTTTCTGTGATATTTTGCTGGCTGCTTGAAAATGTGTTATCAATTAGAAATAGAAGTTTCATTAGAGAGACTTGGAATAACAAGCAGAAAATGTTATTATCCCCATTACAACTTACTACTGAAGTTTTTTATTTAACTAAAGTAAGGCTCAAGTCTTTGTAATCAAATCTAATCATTTCCTATGCCTAAAACCTATACTGACATTAGTAGTTCTATAAAAATTTTTTGTACTTCCAAAGATAACAGGTAACTTAAGAGATAACTAGAATGCTAATGGCCATTTTCTATAGTTTTACCCTTAAAAAAAATCACTGTACTATCCATAAAGCAAAACAATAAAGTCTATTTGAAACACTCTTATTTCTAGTGCTCACTCTTTAGATATGGCCTGAGGTAGAAATTTGCAATGCTTTCCATTTAAAATATTTTTATTATTTATAGCATTTTTCTTCCAGATATTTGAAAGCATGATAAAAAAAGCTTTACTTTATACAGCATTTACTGGGCTAAATAGTATTTGAGCTCAGCACAATTTGCAGTTCACTTAAAAAACAATGTTTTGTAGTATTGATGAGCTGGTTGTTTCTTACAACCTCAATCCCACTTCCCAATAAAATCAAACAGTCCATGCTCAGTCAACAACCGTGTTGAAATGGGTGTCGGTACAAATACCTTTGTTTAGTTGCTTTGGATAGACTTTAAAATTCATTTGTGAAAACACAATGTCATGGTGGTTGAAGGCTTGAAATACTGTACCCTCACATTTAATATTAAATTGAACATTTCATTTTGTTTGGAGAATTTAAACAAATAATAGAACACATAATATTAAGATTATATTTAAATAACTTTATACCTAAATGTGTTGAATATGTTTTTATATAGCCACTTTTTTAACACTGTGTACATCTTTATTTTACAGTGTTGAGTGACTGAATGAGCTGGGTTACACAGGGTATTTAGGGTTATTATTTTCAAAAGAGAAGGTAGAGAAGAAAGTTCTTAGTTTAATCAATGTAAAGTATCCTTCATTAATACTTCCAACACTTTCTGAAGTAGTTAATGTTCTAATATCACTGACGCAAAGGGAAAAAACTGTAAAGTCAGACAAGGTGAATGATTTACCCATGGTCTCACAAATGGTAGGTGTTATAGGCAAAATTTGAAGCTAGTTGTGTCTAAATCTTTACTCCTTGTTTTTAACCTCCACACCATGTGCTTCAGTATAGAACTGGCTCTTTAATAAGATAACATTTTATGTTACACATTATTCTTCCCCATTCCTAGAAATTATTTTCAACTTGTTTTCTTTTTAAATTTCCATTATTGTTTGTCTTTTTGTGCCTTTCCTTGTTTCCTATCATGATATACTCTAAATGAAGGCGCAAAATCCCGTGTAAACTGTAGCTGTGAGGAGAAACTTTTACAAACAGTCACGTTACACAGATCAATGTTCCCTTCCCATGAGCAAAACAATTTTTGGCAATCCACTGACTTAAAAGCTTTTCATTGGTGATGGGAAAAGAACAATGTTGGACCATCAAGAAATACCAATCGCTCACCATTTACTAAGGACTTAATTAATGCCTGACACTGAATTTCGCTATTTAGATACGGTATCTGTATTAGTTCCTTTTCACATAGTGATAAGGCATACCTGAGATTGGGCAATTTATAAAGAAAAAGAGATTTAATGGACTCATAGTAACACGTGGCGTAGGAGGCCTCACAACCCTGGTGGAAGGCTAAAGGCATGTCTTACATGGTGGCAGGCAAGAGATAGCATGAGATTGAAGTGAAAGGAATTCCCCTTATAAAACTATGAGATCTCTTGAGACTTATTCACTACCACCAGAACAGTATGGGGGAAACTGCCCCATGATTTAATTATCTCCCACCAGGTTCCTCCCACAACATGTGAGAATTATGGGAGCTATAATTCAAGATGAGATTTGGGTAGGGTCACAACCAAACCACATCAGTCTCTAATTTAATCCCCACAACCACTTTATAATATAAACATTATTACTGGTAATTTAATGAGGAGAAATTTAAGGCTTGGAGACATGACACAATTTACCCAACCTCATACAGCTTAACAGTGTGAGTGAAAAACTGGACTCACATTTGATTGGTTACAGAGATTGTGCTACATTAACCATTTGGTCATGCTGCACAGAGGCCATTCAGGTATGCTTCTACTTGAAAAGACATCTTGAGTAGAGAGAAAGAATGAGAGCTATGTGACTCAAAATAACTTTCTCAGGACAGGTATAGCAAATTTTTACTAATCACTTCCTAAAAGGTATCAAAGCACCTATGAAAGAAAAAAGAGAGAAACAAAGAGCGAGAGAAGAAGAAAAAATTCCTCCTGACTTCCTTGGTTTATTATCAGGCCCAATGCACAGGCAATTTGTCAAATCAAAGCAGAATTTTCCTTTTCTCTACAGTGGAAGGAGTTGTCTTACCAAAGATTATTATTCTTTTTTTATTTCCTTCAGTTTAGTCACTGTACCACTGCTTGAAGCAGAAGCTGAAGTCAGAGGAATACCAAAGGCAAGGGCCACTTTGCAATGACAAAGAGATTCAAGTGGCAACTCTCCCTCTCTTGCTGACCCTGGCTGGGCCATGTGCCAGGAAAACACTCCTAGATCCTCACAATGACAACTGAGCCTGAATAGATGTTGAAAGCTTTCACTTATCCTATCATTCTGGATTGCAAGCTTCTGCTCTGAGTATGGATGGAAAGGACAGAATGATAAGTATAGCCAACAGCCTAAAACTTTTTGTTGCCTCAGTGCATATCTGTTTTTTAGCTGCATTACTTATTTTTTCATTTTTAATTCCTTTGTTTGTAGTGCCTCTTTTCTCATGGCAGTTTTGAAATACCATTTTGGAGACTCTTTTATGTTCAGAACAGTGACAGTACCACAAAGCTCTCAAGCTCAGCAGAAAAGCCTGTCTCTAGTATCTTCTAGTGAGATATCAGATAATTTCATCCTGTCTAATAGGCCTGCTTGAATATCTTGCTACTATGATATTAGGACCTACATGGATGCTTACTGAGGAAAAACTAGAAATGGCATAAAAGATGACAGGAATGAGTCCTCATCAGAACTCTGATGTAATGACTCGTCAAATTGCACACACATCACACATTATGCACCCAGATAGTCTACAGTGGTGGAGAGTGTAGTCAAGAAAGTAAGAGATGAAGAAAACTGGCTTCTGAGCCTGCTTGGCCAGCTGTGTAATGCTTTCTAGCAGGAAAAAGATGGAAGAACGGGTTTTGTCTTGTCTGTGGAGTGCTTTGAGGCATTCTACAAATACATATTTTTAGATACAGAAGTGTGCGTGTGTCTGTGTGTGTGTGAAAGTGTGAGTGAGTGTGTGTGTGTGTGTGCTCTTTCTCTTGAGTAATAGGATGACAACAAGGGAAAATTTCCTACATAGTGTGCCAAGACATTTCATAGTCTTTGTATTATATGTGCTCATACGTCTAAACATTTTTACAGGTAAGTTACTTTCTGTCTTATGAAAAATGTCAGTTGGCTGTATTGGGGTCTTAAATACGCACAGTACAAACTGGCAGCTTAGTGCTTTCCATCCAGTATCCAGCAGACAGGCAAATCCCAGGGCTGAGCTATTGATCCAGCTGAACTCACAAGCAGTATGTCCTTATTCTTCTGGTTCAGTAGCCTTGGATGTAGTATACAAAATAATTTGCTGCTTTCTTCAAAGTGGTTTTCCCCTGGGGTAGGAAAAACACACTTGGAAAGATGCAAAGATATTTTATTACATTCACAATAAAAGGAACATTTTAAATAAGCTTACTGATTTAAAGAAGGCTATGTGTTTCATGTTTGAGGTTGTCCTTGTTTTATTTTGTGAGTATTGCCATGAAAAATGCCAAAAGATTACAACTTTAATTAAAATTCTTTAAAAACAATTTTAATCTGCCTATCATAAGCTAACCCATTACTCTTTTATCACTCAGGGTTTTGGGGAAAGACTTAATCTTCAAATTAGCTTTTATTAATGCTTATTATCACACTATTATTTGTATATTGACTTCTTATTCCTTTTCCTGATTTATGTACTATATCATTCTCAAGATGTAAAACAACAATTTTCTGTTTTACATGAAAGCTGAGAAAGAAGAGAGAAGATAAAGAAACAGTTCATCAGAATCATGAAAAATCAGTATGTGTCAAGATCCTTATTTATTAGTCTACTCTCTTTTTAGAGACACAGGGTTCAAGCGTTCAGGAAAAAAACTTGAGTGTTTAGTTTCATGAACCCTATTAGCCTTTTGCATTGTAATCAGAGCTTGACCAAGACTTAAAGGCTATGTATTCAGTGCCAGCCTCTCTAAGGCTTAGTTTCTTCAACTGTAAAAGGATGCTACATCATAAAGTTGGTGTGAGATTCAGGCTAAAAAATGTATTGAAAGCATTTTGTATTATCCTGGTAAATAAGAATCATCACTCAAATATAAATACTTATTATTATTAATAGTATCATATCAGTAGCAGTAATGACAGAATCATGGGGACACAAAACTACAGATCAAACTCAAATCGCTCAAGAAAAATATTGACTGCCTATCACATGTTAGACACCACCTTAGACATTGTACAGGGCATTGGAGGATATCAATTAGGAAGAGTGAAGCATGATTCCTGCCCTTAAAGAACTATCTAGTTAAAATAATACATAGCAACTATATTTAACAGAAGACAATTACGTATAAAATGAATAATAAAGGCAATCAAATAGGGGGTTTAGAGGAGACAGAGTTCATAGAAGGGAATAGTAACAGCATTCATTAGCTGACAAAAATGCAGAACTAGATATGTATATGTGTGTATAAATGAAAGAGATGATTTCTTTAATATTTTATCTACAACATCTCACATTCATACATAAAGATAAATAGTAAACTGTCAGAAAACGCAGCCATTTTACCAC
Source organism: Homo sapiens (assembly GCF_000001405.40). NCBI lineage: Eukaryota > Metazoa > Chordata > Mammalia > Primates > Hominidae > Homo > Homo sapiens. The sequence continues at coordinate 92,965,312 of NC_000005.10, forward strand.
TATCTAAATATTCAGTAACTTCAGAAAATCAATTTATATTTGATGAGCTGAAAAAAGCCGATCATAAAAAGAGTTAGTACAAGCAAGAATCTGAATAGCCTCAGAAGCCCAAGGTCAAGTATTAGATTACAATTTGCTTCTGGGAAATAGCTTATATCAATAAGCTATGGGAGAGGTGGAGATCATTTTAAACAAAAGTAACAATTGAGCTATAATTGTATAATCAATAGCCTCTTTTAGCAGATGCGTGGATAGTGCCCAGAGCAGTGAACTGACAAAGAGGAGTTCAGGTACACAAAGAATGAAAGAATTATTTGCTAAAAATCATCTTGATGATCTTATCAAGTAGATGCTAATGAATTGTTAAGATAACATTCATTATTATCACCAGTTTTTATTAATGTGTGTAATTTTACTATTTTTTATAACATATGTTTTTTATAATTACATTAGATATAATAGACTGAGTTTCAAGGCATCAACATAAATTTATACTCAGGATCTTCACACTTCTTCTCCCATTCCCTTTTGTGTTGATATTATCTCAAATTGGTAATACTTGAAGTTAAAGACCATAAGAGATTATATAGAATTTAATTTTATTCCTTTTGATCTGTTTATACATTTGTTAACAAATATTTTAGGAACTAGGGACACTTCTTATGAATATAACATAAGAAGATAAATCAATGTATATAATAAATCACAAATTACATATTATATCAGAATTGTTAGGCAATAGAAAGTGCTTTGAGAAAAGTGAAGCAGAATAATACATGGGTAGACATTCTTTTTAAAATGCTCTAAGGCAGGAGTCTGTGGCCTCTTAGGAACCAGGCTGCAGAGCAGGAGGTGAGTGGCTGTCAAGCAAGCATTACTGCCTGAGCTCTGCCTCCTGTCAGATCAGTGGTGGCATTAGATTTTCACAGGAGCACAAACCCTATTGTGAACTCTGCATGCAAGGGATCTAAGATGCACGCTCCTTATGAGAGTCAAATGCCTGATGCTCTGAGGTAGAACAATTCCATCCTGAAATCCCTCCTCAACTCACTGCTGTCCATACGTGGAAAAATTGTCTTCCATGAAACTGGTCCCTGGTGCCAAAATGGTTGGGTACCACTGCTCTAAGGAATTTCTAATTCAAGCAGAGACTTCAGTGAAATGATAGGTTGAATCATGCAAGATAAGCCTAGGGGAAGATAGTGGAATAGCAAGTGCAAAGGCCCTGGTGCTGAAGTGCATTTGGGTTATTTTATGAACAATAAGAAGGCCACTATGCCTTGAGAAGTTGTGTGAGGCAGCTAGTGATCAAAGTTGACAGCATATATGTCCTTGAAAGAATTTTATTCCGAGTATAATGGGGCTTTACTAGATGCTTTAGAGTAGAAGAATTGCAGTAAATAATATGGTTTTCTAAAAGATCACTCTGGTTGCTGAATGGAGAATGGACAATGTGTCATGAGTGGGAGCACCAAGGTAAATTAGGAGAACATTACTACAGTCAAGATAAGTCATGATGGTGATCACCTTCAGGATTAAATTAGAAAAATACTCACGCCTTTAAGGAAGATAGTGAGAAAGAGTATCTCACCTCAGTCTTCTCTAAGAATTCACAAAAACAAGCCCAACCTCACATGAATGAGGGGCAGGAAGTCATATTCTCTGTGACAGAATATTATCTAAACATGACTGCAACAATATCTCCCATCCCACATGTTCTTCTGAGCACTTCCACATCAAGAGGTCAAGTTTAGGCCGGGCGCTGTGGCTCACGCCTGCAATCCCAGCACTTTGGGAGGCCAAGGCGGGTGGATCACCAGGTGAGGAGATCGAGACCATCCTGGCTAACATGGTGAAACCCCATCTCTACTAAAAATACAAAAAATTAGCTGGGCGTGGTGGCAGGCACCTGTAGTCCCAGCTACTCAGGAGGCTGAGGCAGGAGAATGGCCTGAACCCGGGAGGCAGAGCTTGCAGTGAGCCGAGATCAGCCACTGCACTCCAGCTTGGGCGACAGAGCAAGACTCCGTCTGAAAAAAAAAAAAAAAAAGAGGTCAAGTCTAGTTCTCTGACCCATTGAATCTGAGCAGGCCCTGTAACTATGTTAGCCAATAGGATTACCAGTGGTGAAGTTATTCCAGTCCTGGATATCACCATTGATTGGCCTGGAAGCTTCTGCTTCCTATCTTTTGGAAGTCTATTGCCATTAAAGAAGAGCAACTGCTCTGAGACCATCATTGTGAGAAGCAAAAAAACACATGGAGAGGTCCTAGAGTCTTGTGGAAATTTAAAAAAAAAAAAAAAATCTTGGATGTTGTTTCTCCAGCTTTAGCTGCCCTAGGTGACACCATGGGAATCAGAGGCCAACTACCCATATAAACCCTTCCTGAATTTCTGACCCACAAAATGATGAGCAAAATATATATGTTTTAAGTTACTAGGTTTTGTGGTCATTTTAATGTAGTAATAGATGGCTGGAACATGATATGTATGCCCTTCCCCTCCCCACAAAAAGGATGTCAAAAATTAATTTAAAGAAGTCCCGAGTTGGTAGCACTGGGAAACTGCCACTGTTAAAAGCAGAACCAAATGAACCAAACGATAGTCAGCCAAAATGTAAGACTGCACAAGTAGACCTACAATATTTTCAGCTACTAAAAGTATGGGTTACAGAATATATATTCTTCCACAAAAGATTCCAGAGCCAGAATGATTTTCTCAAGATTTCTTCAAACTTACAGAAGAGTTAATTCTCATATTAGCAAACCTGCTCTAGAACATTTTAATGGTATTTAATTACAAATCTGACAAAAAGAGTGCAAAAAATAAAACCATGTAACAAGAGTATAAAATAGGTTGTTTCAATTTGTGCAGAAACTCTAACTTTTGATGGTTACTGCCTGACTGATGTATTGACAATGTTTCCAAAACTTCATCTTGGTAAACATCTGCAATGTCTTTTTAAAATGTAAGAGTAACAAAATTTTCAAGACATATAATAAAGGGTTAATATCCTTAATATATTGAGACCTCTTTCAAACCAATAATTGAAACTCTAACACCTCCATGGAAAGTGAAAAAGTGTGCAAAAATAAGCAATAAAATCTAAAGAGGCAGAAAAATAAATGATAAATTAGCACAAGAAATATTTAACTTCTCTAGTAATAAAAGAAATAAAAATTAAATCAGCCATCAAGCCCTATATTAGCCTAGCAGATAAACAAACAAACAAGAAAAAAAATCACTCCTCATCAGTACTGCTGAGTGATTAGTGAGACAGCGATAATCTGGTGCCATAGACATTGCTTCCTTAGAGAGTTTCTCTCATAAAAGGATGGCTCTTACCAAATCAGGGTCCCCTTCAAAACAAAGAAAAGTCCTCCACAACCTCATCCTTATACAAAATGAAATTAATTTCATGTGACTTCAATCAATATTTTAGTCTATAATGGGTAAAGATTTAATTATTATCTGAGTCATTTGCCAGTACTTCAGATAATTGATGTTGCTTTTCCTAAATTCATTTTAAAAAAGAATTTTTTAAAATATGTATTTCTTTATCATAATTAGCATAGATTACAGGGTCCGGGGAGTAATTTCACAAAATAAAGTCCAGTGATGTCCTGGATCCCACCCAGACCTATTCAAGCCTGGGAACCTGAATTTCTAACAAACTCCCAGTAGTTGCTGATACATACAAGTTTGAGAGTTACCTTCCCAGGGGATGAAAACAGAAAAATTTAATCCATGACTGGCATACATCAGAAGTCATAGACATGACTCAAGAACATACATCTGTAAAGCAGCAAGCACATGAAGTAAGGTGTTGCCACTTATAAAGTCCCCGGGGAAATCAGCCTTGGAGCCCAGAGGATGGCCTCCAAGAATGGACCTTATGTTTAACCTTGGCAGCTGACTTCCCAGATAGCTCTAAGCACTGAGGCTAAAGTGGGGGCAGTCAGACAATGCCAGAGGTAGCGGTAGTCACCAGCCAAATCTGGTAAGGATGGTAGGAGACCAGATGTGCCATCCCCTATAGGCAATTCATTCATGGCTGTCCCTTTAGGTAGGCACGAAGCCACTTTGGCTTCAGCCTTTTGCCTTATTCTCTCAAAAGTCACATGCAATCAATTTTCTGAACTGCTTATTGCCACATCTTCCTGCTGTTCTCTGTGACCATGAATTGCATGTGTAAAGGATGAGGACGTATTCAAACTCTATGGCACAAAAGAAAGAATCAATTCAGACTTGTATTTTTAAAAGCTGTACGTAAGAATCCTTTTTCTTGAAGATGTAGACAGGTGAATGCGGAATATGATATCTGACATGATTGTAGGACACTGGCTGTAATAAAGTATAACTGAGTATCTGTCAACTTGGCTGTGGCTTGTTTGTTCACACTTCAGGCCAGTTTCATGAACAGGAATAATAGAAGTGTATTTTTCCATTTGCAGAGCTGTAAAAAGGAAACGACATTTTTATTTGTTATCTGAATAGTTTTCTATTGTTTCTTAGCTTCTTTAGAAGCCAGTTTTAAAAAAATTTTCTGAGAACTTTAATACATTTTCTTAAGTAATACATTATCTTTTATCTACATTTCCAGTTTTTCAGTATACCAAAAGGACTTGCAAAATCACTTCGGTATTTCTGCTAAAAGCCTAAATGTAAACAAAGAGTAAATACAAATGCCAGGAATCTGTTAAAATTCTACAAATGTGTCCACTACCCACTATGCTTTGCTTGAATTGGGTTCTTTGTGTCCCTGTTTCCCCCAACCTTGGCCAAGAGCATTTTGTCTCTCACTAGTGCCCTGATGATGATGATACAATGGTGTGCATTCATTGCAGTGGCATGTACAGAGCTGTAGTTCAAGATCTCTTCATTGTTTCCTTGGGATAACCATTCCAAGGAATGAGTTTGTTTGCCCTTAAGGATGGACATCACAGAATTTTGACTCTCTCAATAGCTAAAAACTCTTTAGTCCAAGAGATGTTTTAATGTAACTATTTTCTTATTTATAGGCTAGAAATGCTGCATGCCAATACCAGACATTTTGAGTAGCACATTATCGTTGCCCCTCCCCAAGATATTCATAGCTTTGGAATTTTTGGCTGGTATTTCCATGTATTATAATTGTTTTAAAGAAAAAAAATTGAATTTAGAATCTGTATAGAATGATAAAGTAATTCCAAATAGCAGTTGTATCCATATTCATCACCAATCATCAAATGGGACTGATTATAAATGTACTGGGAGACTATCAGAAAGGCACTGTTGATTTACTTTACATAGATAAACAAGCCACATAAAAAATGAAAGCACAATGCTTTCTGAATTGTAAGCGATTAAACATTAATGACTGTAAAGCTTAGTCAAACACTGAAAGTCTTAAAGTCTTCCACAGTACATCATGTTGAGTGTCAATGGATAAAACAGAATGCCAATATTAGTTGGAATGTTCTTGAAAAGAGTTAAGCTTTGTCAATAGCTATAAATGTACATATGCCAATATCTAAAAATCTATCAATCTCTACATGCTGTTTGTAGAAGCTTGATTACTCTGACCGTACCAAAAATATTCTGGCACTAGCTGGCATTGAAAATAAACAAATCTGAAAGTGATTTTATATTCACTTATAAGCATTCGTTTTCTTTTGTGCCACGTGTGTGGATTTTGGTATTGATATAGTGAAGTAATTATTATCTACACTAAAGGAAGGTAGAGAATGAATAAATCAAATTTTTTTTTCAATTACCACATTCATTTGGCTGTAGATGTATTTTGGTGACTATATTTAAATATTCATTTATCCAGCTAACATTAATTTTAGCTTGATGTAAGAGAATGCTCTTAATGTGACATCTAAGACCTGGGTCTAATTTTTGCTCTACTGTTGATTAAGTCATATGACCTTGTAAAAGTTCATTTAACCTGTTTCGGACAGTAATTGTTGCTTTAAAGTAGGATATCTTTGTCAATTACATAGTTATTTGAAGGATCCAAGGAGGCAGCAAATGCAAACACACTTAATGGACTGTGTTATATCTATGCAAGATATTGTTGAGAAGCTCCACATAAAGCCCTAAGAAGCTTGCAGATGAGAAATACAAATAAAGGATAAGTTTACATGCACAGGGCTGAAAGTACAATGACTTGAGCAACTGACACCAGAATTCTTCTGAGGCACAGGGTTATATTTCTCCAGGAAAATGCATTGATAGGTGTTCTAAGTTTGAGGGTCAGCAGGAAAAGGGCATGGAAGGAAGAGGAAGCTGTTTTGTATCATAGATAAGATGAACACGCAACTGCAGGTGGAGGAAATCTTTGAGGGAGGGAAAGAGGAGCAGAGATTCAAGAAAAGGTTCAAGATAAAAAATTATAAGATGACAAGCCTACCTCTCCATTACCTTCAGTTAGTCTGTGGAATATTTTCAATTTGCCTAAAGCTATATGTGTGTGGATCTTTGTGGAAACCAGTGAAAGAAATAAATTTTAAGCTCAGTTTGGCTCAGGGTGAAAGAGATATCACAAGCAGCTGTCAGAGCAGGCAAAGATAGAGGAGGCAGTACTCAGTATCTTATCAAAACAAAAACCCTCAGAAATCCATGAAAGTTGGATTAATTTGACCAGTCATAGGCTCTGGAACTTAGAGTTCTAGTCAAATCTACCAAGATGGCAGAGGAAGCAGGAGGCTTCAGCTGGGCCAGCTACATGCATAATTAAATCTAACACATGGTAAGTAAGAAAAAAATGCATTGAGAGAAATTCACAATACTATATGATATTAAAGCAGGGAAGAATCACTTCCAGCTGAAGCTATTAGGGATATTTCAAAGAGGCGGGGTGTATTAGTCTGTTCTTGCATTACTATAAATACCTGAGACTGGGAAATTTATAAAGAAAAGAGGTTTTATTGACTCATGGTTCTGCAGGCTGTACAGAAAGCATGATGCTGGAATCTGCTTGGTTTCTGAAGAAGCCTCGGGAAACTAAATGATGGCAAAAGGTGAAGGGGAAGCAGGCACATCTTACATGGCAAGAGCAGGAGCAAGAGAGAGTGAGTGGGGAGGTGCTACATACTTTTAAACAACCAGATCTCATGAGAACTCTATCAAGAGAACAGCCCCAAGGGGATAGTGCTAAACAGTCATGAAAGATTCACCCCCATGATCCAATCACCTTCCACCAGATCCCACCTCCAGCACTGGGGATTACAATTTGACATGAGATTTGGTGGGACACAGATCCAAACCATATCAAAGGGGATTTGAGATGTTTTCATTGTGTTTCAATTTGCAATTTGTTGCCTTTTGTTTGCTTGTTTTTATCTATTGTAAACTTTTTTTTTTTAGATGGAGTCTTGCTCTGTCGCCCAGGCTGGAGTGCAGTGGTGCAGTCTTGGTTCACTGCAAACTCTGCCTCCCAGGTTCAAGCAATTCTCCTGCCTCAGCCTCCCAAGTAGCTAGGATTACAGGCATATGCCACTACACACAGGTAATTTTTGTATTTTTAGTAGAGATGGGGTTTCACCATGTTGGCCAGGCTGGTCTTGAACTCCTGACCTCAGGTGATCCACCCACCTCGGCCTCCCAAAATGCTGGGATTACAGGTGTGAGCCACCATGCCTGGCCTATCTATTGTAAATTTTTAACATAAGACAGATATTTTTACCTGTGGATGCTCTTTAAAGGGGATGCTTTAAGCCCAATATGCATTGGAGAACAGGACAGCAAGCCCTGTCACTGGAGTGCAAGCTCTGTGAGGGAAGGCACGTATTTCACTCATTTTATCGCCTTTTTGTTGTTTTGTCTTACTGTATGAGCAGAATTTTAAAAGATAAAGACATTCCAGAGAATGTATTCCGCTTCAAATGAATATCCAAATTTCACTGTGGGAACTTGAAATTCACTCAGAAGTTCCATCTAATTTTTTTCTTTAGGCAGAACATCTTTATTCATTCTTTTATTCAATAAGCCAAAAGGATTTTGCTTTGGTCCCACTGTGTCTAAAATATAGTGCTAGATATTGAGCTTATTAAAATGAGTGAAATATGTCCCTTCCCTCACAGAGCTTGCACTCCAGTGACAAGGCTTTCTCTCTGTACCCCAATGAATATTGGGCTTAAAATATCCCTTTTAAACAGCATCCAGAGCTAAGAATATCCGTCTTATGTTAAAAGTTTACAATAGATAACAAAGGTTTTTATTTAATGCCACTCATCATTACTGACAAATATTTTTTGAGCATTTAGAAAGGATCACCTTTCAAAGGTAATATGATTTTATACTATTTTGTCACTGTTAATAAAACACAATTTGAAACAAAACATCACAAGTCTCATTTAAGTCATTAAGAAAATACTTTGGAATGAAATTGCTGAGACATAAAAGTTTACACAGAGGATAATTATAATTTCAATTCCTTGGTTAATATACCTATAGTACAATACTATAAACTACAAACTCAAAAATGTAGTATTTTTATAGTTATATATTTCTCATGGTAAATAAGGAAACTGACATTCTAATTTTTTTTGTTAAGGAGTCCCTGTCTTTCAGAAATATTTGGTCAAATTCATTGTCTCTTAATCTCTTTTGGATCATGGAATTCTGAAACACAAAATACAGTTGTGGGTCCCCGTCTATAGAATAGTGCACATACAGATTTACACACAACATTTTTATACAGATTAGAAATTTTTTTTTGTTTTTTTTGACGGAGTTCCCCTCTTGTTGCCCAGGCTGGAGTACAATGGCGTGATCACGGCTCACTGCAACCTCCTCCTCGTGGATTGAAGCAATTCTCCTGCCTCAGCCTCCCGAATAGCTAGGATTACAGGCATGCACCACCACGCCCGGCTAATTTTGTATTTTTAGTAGAGACGGGGTTTCTCCATGTTGGCCAGGCTGGTCTCGAACTCCCAACTTCAGGTGATCTGCCCACCTCGGCCTCCCAAAGCACTGAGATTACAGGCGTGAGCCACCACACCTGGCCAATTAGAGGATTTTTAAACTGCTATTCTGGTTAATACAGGAGACAATCAAGTTCACTAACGATTACAGAAAAAATACAGTAAATGCTATTACTTGCAAGACTGCGATATTTAGAAGACTTGGGATATACTACACACACTTCAAGATCTTAGGCCACTTTATAATAACCATAAAGGTAGGATTTGAAAATGTCCTTTTTTAAAAAGCCAATGAAGAAAAAAGAAAGAGAATTCTGTCATACTTAAGGGCAAGGATCATCTTTTTCATTTTAATATCCCTGTGTCCAAAAGCAATCCCCAGCATAGATATAGGTGCAAAGTGACCTTCACTGAAAAAAAGCAAAGGTCCAGGATAAGCCACCAACTAAATATTCATGTCCATGGTTCTTTGCCTGCTGCTAAATGGTTCTTATAATACTTCTAAGGTAAAGACTCTCCATTGGATCCATTCCCTTGCATTCTCAACCGCCACTGGCTGGGCCTGAGTAGTCTTCATATTGCTACTGTTGGTTTGGCTCAACCCTGAGGTCATGAGACCATGCTCTCTTTTGTCTTAAGACAAAATGTTAGAGCTTAAGTATTGCTGTAAAATGAAATAATATCCTTGGCACTGCGTTTAAAATAACAACCTGCCTAAAGGCAAAATTCTCTTCCTCCCATCACGCACTGAATGTTTATTTCACATTCAGCACTTGTTTGGTGCATGTTGCATCCCCAGACACTGAGAGAACTGTGAGAATGTAATGAGTACAGAATCTTCGAGAGAGGCAATGCAGGAAAGATCTAAATGCTGTGGATTTCAAGAAAATTTGACCCAAAAGCCCAATCATTAAATATACACTATTTTGACAGCGAAGCTGGGAAAGGTGAGCTGAATTATGCATTTTGATATCTTAAAGGTAGTCTTCACATCATTAAACCGTTTTTATTTAAAGAAAGTCATTCTTATAAACAGGAGGGATTTGCCTTTTCAGACGTATTATTTTGAATATGTCAGAACAATCTATATCATATTAGTCAGAAAATTTAAAAATATATACATTTTACTGGTATATTAAGAGTAATTGTTGGCAAAATACCCTGAATTATTTAAACTCTTATGGTAATTTAGTATTAAAAGTCTTTGGCCTTAAATGTGTGTTAAAGAAAAATCTCAAAAGTACAAAACATATGGTGTAATATCTTAGTTATTTTACCTTAAAGTGAATTGAAGAAATGTTTACATAGAATTTTTCACTTTGCAACAACATGGGAAAGCAAAAGTCCTGTGGAAAGCTGTCCAGATGCCCAACCACCATCACAACAACAAATTTATTTCCCAATAAAAGAATATCATGTATAGTAAGATATATAATAGCAGTTTGGGATTGTTGTGAATAATTACTGGAAGTTATATTTTTTAAATTCCACCAGTTAGAATACCTGTATTGAGCCTTATCGATCAAAATATCCTTGCATTAATCATAGCACAGTATAAAATCAACTCAGAAAGAAACCCTGAGCTTGAAATTAGCATCTGTAAAACAACCATGTCTGAGAAAAAATGTTTTGCTACATTAAACAAAGTCTTAAAACCTTAGATTAGGGGTTAACAAACTATGGCCATCTCTGAATCTGGCCTGTAGTCTGTTTTTGCATTTCCCTCAAGCTAAGTAAGGTTTTTAAATTTTTAAAGATTGTAAAACAAAACAAAGAGGGACATGTGACAGAAACCATATGAGGCCCCCCTACCCAAACCTTAAAATATTTATTATCTGGCCATTTGCAGAAATACTCTCCCAACCCCAGGTTTACATTCTAATGGACTGGTAGCTAGCCTTCATGTGCAGTTTTGGATTTAGTTGGAAATGCCATGTCATTTTACTAAAAACAGCTCTCTTCTGGTAAAATTTGTACTGAAAACATGAAAAATTTCCCTAGCAACAAATTAAACGTTCAAAATCACACTAACTAGATTTGCTCCTTTATCAAAAGTAATGCCTTAGAAATGAAGTCATCTAGGGATATTCTAGAACTGAGCAATTTATTCAACATATTTAGAAGACATATGGATCTGAGGTGAAAACTGATATTTGTTGAAAGCAATGAAAAATTCTTATACCCAACTGTAATATTCTTTCTCATTAATTCATTAATTCTTCTTCAGAAAAAAACACAAATCTCTTCATATGATTTTTAGATGTAGCTTTACATAAAAATACCTAAATGCTTTGAATCTAAGAAATTTTAAATATTTGTTCAATAAAACAAAATCCTTTTACTATGCTTATCTATCTTGTGAACTAACTCCATGTAATTCAAAATTCAAGTTCAATTAATACAACTTTATCATTAACATGATTATAATTATTATTCATATTAAATTAAATGCATATTAATCTAAATTATAGCATGAAACCAAAAAATAAGATTAGTCTGGCCATGGGTAGCTAAAGATTCCTGTATTACAATAGGAATATAAAAGATACCTATCTTTTATATTGCAATACAGGAATCTTTTATTATATTCAAGAATTATCTTTTATATTAAATAGAAATTAATAAAATAACTTTAGAAAAATTATTTTTCTCTTCTAAACAAATAATTGTGCTTATAATGCAATGTCAAGCATAAGTCTTATTTCTTGTAATGTGTAATTATTAATTGTGAACTGAATATTAAAAGAAGTTTAATATTTATTAGAGAGATATAAGTACCATAAAAGGGAATTCAATTTAAATGTGTACTCACAAACATAAGAAAAAAGAAGCAATTTTTCCCTTAAAATGCTTTAAAAACTATTACAAGAATTAAGAGAAACAGAATGCATTTTGATAAATCCATTTAATGTAAATAAGAAATTTGGCCCTATTTAAACTTTATGAATAAGTAGATTATTTTGCTACTAGCCATAATTTTAATTTGAGGTTCACCATATCTTGTATACCTTAAGACATAGTAACAATACTTACATCAAATACTTAGACATTTTTACTGCTATTTTACTTAGGGAAAGATGTGTTTGTTGGTTGCTTATTTAGATCTTTGACAAATTCTCCACATCAAACAAGGTCAAGCCACAAATAATGCCCAAGATCAACTAAAAATCTAGTAAAGATCAATGACTTGAAATGTGGATTTGAAAGGATGTGGGTCAATGTAAAAGCTGCAAGAATTTTTTTCTTCATTATTTTAAAACAAATGCACATCTTCTGCGGGTAAAACAGCCCAAAGCAGTGTCTTTTAAACCACCTATACCAAAAGATAAAACACCTTGGAAACAACAAGCCTTTGACATCTGTGACACAGGAGACATGCAGAAGTCATTAAGGGTATCCCGAGGGGGTTCCAACAGTTGCTTCACTTTAGGGTGGATGTGAGAAGGCTTAAAATTAAATTACTTTAAAATAAAGTTAGAGCAGTAAGCAATTTCCTGCTTTCTACTCAGAAGGGTTTCCCGTGAGAAAAGAAAGTGGGCAAAAAGCTCAGACAGACAGACAAACATATTTACCCCTAGGTGGAAGGTACAAATTAAATTAGCCTGCTACAAAAGGGAGATGTTTTCTCCTTCTGTTCAGATGTCATGGTAGTGAGGAAACATAGTCTGGGGCCAAGAAAAATGGCACAAATGCATTCATCTGAGCTACCATTCATCCTGATCCAAGGTCTAAACAGAACACATAAAAGAACGGCACTGTTGAAGGACTTCCTCTCCCTAGTTACCAAGTTGAGACTTGCAAAGGCACATGGGAGCAGGGGGTGGGGATCTTTCCAGAATGTTTCAATGTTGATGGAGTGTCAGAGGATGTTATGGAGTTAATGACTGAATCTGAAATCACATCAGTATAAGTTGATTCCATATTTCATAGAAAGAGCTGTATTTTATGGTGCACAGTATGGTGTGTTTAAAGGTACATTGTGAACTTTCTTTCCCTCTGTAGCTGGAAACCAATATAGGCACTTCCAAAGAGTCAAGTATCTATTATAGTGCCTCATTAATATGCATGTTTTTGGCACTCAGTTTGGTTCAGCTGGTATGCTTTCCAGTATCTCATTCTTTATTTATATGAGACTGGGAGGTGTGACCTATGGAGCCAGTTGGCTGTCATGAATTGGAATATTCATTAAGCCTCATGAATTATGCATTAGCCTGCTTATAATACTGAGATCCACATTTGATCTAGCCAGAACTCTCTGCTTTCCATTCAACGAAACGATCCACATTTTGGTCAAACTGTACATGTGTTCCATACACTGCAGAAGGACTGCCTGTATATTTGCCACCAAAAAGGCTTGGAGATTTTGCACCTCACATCTGACTAAGTGGGTTTCATATTTTTCGCTTGTTTGAAGGGCATTGCAGACATGGTTCTCCTCTGTAAAACGAGGTTAGAGTAGCATTCTTCCCTAGCCTGATTACTATTTCCATCCATTACTGCCCTTGCCTATAAAAGTCACCAATGACTGGTAAGCAGCCTGGATTACAAAAGATATGTAGCTATCTCCTGGCAATCCACACACAAAAGCAAAGCCAAATATAAAAAACATGGAAAGTGCTTTTAAGAATTTAGTTTCTCTTATCTAAAACAAGGAAACCCTTTTACTGATAACCTTATCATTTGTGATACTTTTTTATGGATAGGTATATCCTGGCTACATAAAATCTAATTTGTAGATCTTGTTGATGTTACAAGATTTTATCAAAATTCAATGACAGTATTTATTAGGCATTAAATATTTTAATTGTTAAATAATATGGATCAATATTAAATTCATGGCTTGCTTAAATCCACACCTTTTACAATAGAAAGGAAAAAACAGCTGAAAAAAAATCAACTGGTAAAGATTAGTAAAATCTGTAATACACATCAGTAAACTGAAACTCTGAAAGCATTTCACCTTTATTCATTCTTTGTACAAGCTACTCAAGTTAAAATTGTCCCCCCCAAAATATCAATTCTTAAGTAAAAATATTATTTTATATAGCATCGATCTCAAATATTTGATCACCACCCACTTTAAAAAGTTTCTATTCTTTCTTTCTCAATGTAGACCTGCTTTGGAGGGAACTCCTATTCAGGTAAATAATTACTATAATGTAAAGCCTAAAACATAATTTGAATTTAGCCCATTCCATCTGCTATATTCTGGAAGACTGGACTAAGGAATCTATAACCAGCTCTACAAAAGGTCATGGGTGAGTCCTGGGTAAAATGGCATTGTTTACAGATTTCTTAGTGAAGAGATTAGCTGTCATTTATTTTCACATACCTAACTGAGAAGCTTTAGTGGTTCCCAGCAAGAGTGTGTTCTCTTCTCTTTCTTAGCCTGTCACATCCTTGTCAGTTTCAATAAAATTACTTACCTGAATTATGCAAATGAGGTTTTGTTATGTCCAGCTCCCATCATTGTTCATCTCCACTACAGCTGAAAATTCTAGCAGACCCCTTGCTTACACTGTCTGATTCCAGGACTCCTTAGGTCAAGACCTTTCAACCTCAGAGCTTGACTTATGCCACAACCATTTGACAAATCGCCCAGACCCTCACAAAAGCTGGTTGAGCTCCAGAGTGGCTGCTCTCTCTATACACCACTGTTTCTCTGTTTTGACATTTCCTTCTCACTTTTCCTCTCAGTAATTAGACAAAGGGAAAAAAAGACATTTGTGTTTAAAGAATGCTTTCATTTAGGACTGTGATAAATGGCTCCCCTTTCCAAGAAGCTGCAATCCCACTACAGGACAGAAGGTTCCTTCACAAGGGGTTTGGACAGCAAAGGCCTTCCACCAAAGTTTTCCTGGACTTCAGCTTTGCCTCTAAAAAGCCTGCAGAGAGTTTCCACTGATCTCTTCTGTGTTTTCAGTAAAACTGAAAAATGGAAAAATGTAGCATGAACTTCCATATTAAAAGTATCATGGTTGTAAATGCAAGGACATTGACATTATGATTTAAGTATTTCTAGGAATGTTTGGTGTTGGAAAACACATTTGGAACAAAAAGGCACTGTGCCTTTTTTTTTTTTAAGTAATCTTAGTGCCTTAAAAAAGTCTCTGTTCAAGTTCTAAATTCCAGATTATAACATACCCCACTCTCCAGTATGTTTCATATATCATCTTGAAAAAGAATGAATTGACAGAACTATCAGAGATCTGACGTTTTAGTGGCCCATAACAAATCTGAAATATTTGTGGGGAAGTTTAATCATGTTTCTTTTAAAATAAAATACAACTCTATCGCGCTGCAGAAAGGAAAGTTGGCATTGTAATCAAGAAAAAAATTTTAATAGAGAGTAATGTATGTCAGCCAGATTTTCTTAAGGTGCTTTCAGAGTAATGAGTTAATGTTTATTGTTCCATTAGGGAAAAAAGATTGTGAAACATGTAAAACAATTGAATCTGCATGTGACTCAACTGTTGAGAGTTTCAGTGAGGAATTAGTGTGTTACTGTTCATGCTATAGTTAATCTGTTGCCTTTGCTCATGGTAGTGCATTAATCAGAACATCACCAAATGACGTTCCCAAACCAGGCAAATCACCTTTAATCTGATATCACAGTTTAAGTAATTAACCAACAAGTTTACCTTGGAAGTTTAAGGCATGATATATGACTTTATTCACAAATAAAGAGGATATTCACTATCCTCTTCCTTGTGGTTAGTTATGGGAGCTAAAACAATATAAATGAATAAGCATATCAAAGTTTCTATCCCCCAAATCAAAACAAAGCCAAACACAGAATCAATTTTATTTGGACTTTTATTAAAATCTTTGTGAGGGAACAAAGTCTTTAGACGTTTCCCATGTAAAAGGCACTAGACCAAGCAGCCTGATATGCTTGAAATAATGTATCCCCAGGCCTAAAGGCCAGGATGCATTCCATTTCAGAGACCTTTTCCACCATGCAGGCATGCATTTAGTGAGAAAAGGAAACCTTGGGAACTCATTTGGTAAACCTTTAACTGATACAGTATATTCTTAGTTTATGGTTTCCATTCATTCTGTGGATTAAACAAAACAGAGGTGAACCTGCTGATGCATAACTGAAAATGAATGCCAGTAAAACCCTACACCTCTGTAGCTCCATGTAAAAGGGAGCTCATTGTTGTTGACAAATATGAAGTAATATTAGACATATAAATTCTCATTATGGCACAAAAACCTTATAACTTTAGGTGTAAATATGTCCCTAACTGACATTGTGTTTATGTATTAGTGTATCACTCTGAAATGAGACTTATCTTCTTGATGACAGTTTGTGTGCTCCAATATCAGTACTCTCAAGTTTTTAAAAGTTTATTCTATCTCTTTATAATGACCCATTATGTGCTTCTGTTTGCATTTTGTCAACAAAAATTTGTCTATTTTTAAAAATATGTTTATTTTTAAAACAAAAAGATCTACTTTATCTGGTGGATCAAAATCAAAAGATGATTTTCTCAATTTCAAAGAATGAGAATCTGGTTTAATTATTTACTTAATATGATATCCTTCAAAACATTGCATTGATTATTTAAAAACATCACAATCAAAATTTACTTACTCAACTCACTAACATGCCATTCCATTAAAGGCATATTTCTTAAGCACATCATGAATAGTCAGTAAATGTTTGTTTAAAAGATTACTTTTAACTAAACACCTATTATGTGTTACCCTTTCCTTCTCCTAGGAAGCTCATAGTCTAAAAATGAAAATAAGACTAATATATAAAATAAACATAAAGCGAAGAAGAAAACTCAAATGCTATATGAGCAATATTACAATGATGGTTACCAGGGAGGTTGGGGGGTAAGAAATGTACCTATCATTGACTATAAAAAAATGTGCTTCTTAAACTCTATTCATTAATCAGAAAAAAAGTCTAGTTTTTCTAGATTAGATGCCCTTCAGAGTTTTAGTTGGATTTTTCACAATTCTGTGTATTTGATGGAATTTTTGCCAAAGTCAGAAATTTTCTTATCTAGTTTCCCTCATTAATCAGTCAGAAAGTAATCAAAGAAAGTATTTAATCTGTGGCTGTTTCCGTTGCTTATTTTCTTATCCTTTTAAGCAGGTCTTCAAGTCCAGTAGTATGTTGTTGTTCAAAAGGGAATTCTTCCTGGAGTTGCCATAGATGAGTAGGACATGACCTCTCTGTGAAGATATGGTCTGAAATAAGACACTGCGTTTGATTTTGGAACTTAGTTATGATAATGGTTTCCAATTTCCATTCAAGAGTAGAATATAGTGCAACTTGATTCGTCAAAATGACAGCAGCAATTTCATACCTCTTCTTCACCCTATAGTCTATTTTAGAATACTTAAATAAGAAATTCTTATTGTACTCTTGAAATATATAGAAATAATATTGCAAAGGCAATAGCATGCCTTTCTTCCTCACTTTCCAAACAGAACCTGCTCCTCCTTCTGTACCCCATCTCAGTGCATGTCACTATGATATCCCCCATCACTGAAATCACAGAAACCTGTGACTCACCTAAACTCCTATACACATTCTTTTCCCACTTCCCACACATATGCAATATGTGCATCTTAATATCTTATATATTTGTCCCTTATTTCACCCCCTTGTTACTGTCTTAATTCAGACCCTCTTGAATTCTCCACAGAGACCTTGGCCCCTGAACCTGCCTGTCCTCCCTTTGATAGGCAGTCTTCAATAAAAAATGCAGTGTCAAGCATAGTGCAGCTCAGTAACCTTCAATGGCTCCCACATAGATTTCAGGATAAAATTCAAATGCCTTGGTGGAGCCCACCACTCTGCCACAGATAGTACTCTTCTTCACACTGTACCTAGTGATTTTCATGCTTCTTTGTTGATCCTTCATGCTTCCATATGGTGTTTCCCAAACCAAAATGTTTCTCTTCCCCTCTTCCTCAACCTTCATTCTACCTACCTAAGCTCTACTCTTGATTCCATCAACTTCTTCCAGAACCCTTCCCTGACCTGGAGTCTAACTTATATGCCTTCTTGCTCTCTTAGCACCCTACCCATTCATTTATCCTGGTACTTGTCTATTTATAACACTAGACCTTGAACTCTTCTAGGGTAGAAAACTTGTTCCAGTTTGTGTCTCACCTAGAATTTATTTAGCTGATTTTTACCTATCAAATGAAAAGACTTCCAGAGCAAAGAGAGTAAGTCTTATGGAGGTTCTAATGAGTAAATATTCTGTTTCCAACAAGGGCAAAGAAAAAAAAGTAAGAAAGAAATTACAACCATAGAAATAATGATGATGGTATAAGTCCAACCTATATCACTGAGGCCATGCATTACAAATATAGAAAAAAATAAATTAATAGATACAGACTTCTAATTGCAGCTCCAGTATATAAGGACCATAAAAGTCATCACTCTTTCCATACAACAGGAAAAAATATGGCCAATCTGAAAATCCATCACTTTCCTTGGACTTCTCAGACAACCAAGGTTGTAGGGAAAATCATCATCCTGATATCTGAAGAACAATATCCTGAGATACTGCAACTGAGATGTACTTAAGCAGAGCAGAAGCTACTGGAGCCATAAACTAATATGAATTCTTAAAGGATAATTTTCACGAATTAAATTTGGATTGCCGGAGAGTAGTCAACTTTTGGGAACACTTTGATGGGATTTACTTCCAAGAACCCCATCAGTGTCTCACTACAAAGATCTGAAAGTTATACTCATAGCTCTGGCACCAGGAGGAAGAGTAATCTTTATGAAATATTCTTAGAGCCTTCTTTGTAATAAAGAACTTGTCTGGGACTTATCCCAATCAGAGGCAGGGCATTCATTCCACCTCAGGCCCTATAGCCTCCCTGTTTTATCTAAGAAAGAAAACATTTCAAACAGTTAGGGCTTCAAGAAAATAGATTGGAAACTCCAGTCAGGGAAGAGAACAGAGGGGAGAGGATGGGGGAGTTAGAGCACTAGAGAAACACTTCTGAAGGCCACATCCTCAAGACAAAGGCCCACTGACACATCAAGCCATTATCAGAAGACAACAGAATTTTTCACCTTCCCCACATTTTACCACTATACCAATAGGGATTTGATATGATAACAATGCATTACAACTGAAAGACCTGCAAGATACACACTTTCTCTGAGGAAGAGTATTAGGAAAGCCCAAAATCAAGGCAGGAGAAAAAATAAATAAATAAATAACAATAGAGAAATTTGAACCTCTGGTACCTCTGGTAACAGCACATATTAAACACAGTCAAACTTCTGGTCAGATTTTCTGAATCCTCACAATGAAAGCCTATTGATCTCAGTTGCTCAGTTGCAAAACAACATGTCCAACTTTCAACAAAAAATTACAAATCACACCAAAAATCAAGAAAAAACCCAATCTTAAGAGAGAATGCAATCATCAGAACCAAACTGGGAAATGACACAGATATTGGAATGATCACACAAGGAATTTAAAATAATTATAATTAATTTGTTAAGAACCTTAGCAGGAAAAATTGACAGCATGCAAAAATAGGTGGTTTATCTCAGTGGAGAGATGGAAATTCTAAGGAAGAATCAAAACGGAATGCTAGAAATTTAAAACACAGTAATAGATGTGAAGCATGCCCTCAATTGACTCACTTTTGATGGGATGCTGTCAAGTAAAGATCCGTGAACTTGAAGATAGGTCAATAAAAACTCAAACTGAAATATAAAGAGAAAAATTATGATAAAAAATCTAAGAACTGTGGAATAATTTCAAAAAGCACAACAAATACATAATTGGAATACTTCCGAAGGAGAAGAAAGAGAAAACAAAGTAAGAGAAATATTTGAAGTAAAATTGCCAAGATTAATGATAGAGCTTAAACTACATATTAAAACAAAACAATAATAAAAAACTTAGGCATATTATATTTAAACTACAGAAAATGGAAGACAGAGAAAGTCTTAAAAGAAGCCAGAGAAAAAGACAACTTACCTACAAAGGAACAAAGATAAGAATTACAAATTTTTAACTAGAAACCATAGAAGCAAGAAGAGAGTGAAGTGACATATTTTAAAGAGTTAAAAGAAAAAAAATCACCAATCTAGAATTCTAGACTCAGTGAAATTATTCTTCAAAACTGAACCAGGAGGCCGGGCGCGGTAGCTCATGCCTGTAATCCTAGCACTTTGGGAAGCTGAGGCAGGTGGATCACCTAAGGTCAGGTGCCTGTAGTCCCAGCTACTCGGGAGGCTGAGGCAGTGGAATCACTTGAATCTGGGGGACAGAGGTTGCAGTGAGCCGAGTTCACACCACAGCATGCCAGCCTGGGTGACAGAACAAAACTCTGTCTCAAAAAAAAAAAAAAAAAACTGAAGCAGGAATAATGAGTTCCTCAGAAAAGCAAATTGAGGGAATTTATTGTTAATATACCTGCACTACAAGAAATCTTGAAAGTTTTTAAACTGAAGAAAAATAATATTTATGAAAAACTTGGATCTATATATTTAAAAAAGAAAAGCATTGGATAAAGACAAAGTGAAGATAAAACATTTACTTTTTTAATGATTTTAAATGTAAACATTGTTTAAGACAACAACAGTAAAAATGTTTTCGTAAATATAGTATAGGGATAAATAAAATGAATGGGTGTAATGTAACAAGAGATGGAACTTACATTCCTTAAGAATGTACATTGTAACTAAGATAAGCACTTTAAAAATCTGCATAACAAAAGTATAATTTACACCTGAAAAATGGAGATAAGACAGAGTTATATAAAATGCTCAACTAAAACAAGAGAAGGAAAAAAGTGAGAAATTAGAAAAGAAAATACCTTGCTAGGTGCCGGGCGCAGTGGCTCACGCCTGTAATCCCAGCACTTTGGGAGGCCGAAGCAGGTGGATCACTAGGTCAGGAGATAGAGACCATCCTGGCTAACATGGTGAAACCCCATCTCTACTAAAAATGCAAAAAATTACCCGGGCGTGGTGGCGGGCGCCTGCAGTCCCAGCTACTTGGGAGGCTGAGGCAGGAGAATGGCGTGAACCCAGGAGGCGGAGCTTGCAGTGAGCCGAGATCGCGCCACTGCACTCCAGCCTGGGAGACAGACAGAGCGAGACTCTATCTCAAAAATAAAAAGAAAAAAGAAAAGAAAATACCTTGCTAGTTACAAATAACCATAGGAATAGTCACTTTATCATTTAAAATGTGAATACCATAAACGGACCAATCAAATGTCAGAAATTAAGAAATAAAGAGAAAAGTACAGAGTTGATAAGAAAACGAGACCCACTATATGTTGTCCACAAGAAACGTGCTTTTTAAAAGACTCAGATAGGCTAGGAATAAAGGGATAGAAAAAGATATAATATGCTAACACATACCAAAAAAACCCTGGAGTAGCTATATTTATCTCAGAAAAAGCTAAATTCAAAGCAAAGAAGGCTATCAGTAATAAAGCGGGACATTAAATAATGATAAAGGAGCCAATTCTCCAAAAATATATAACAATCCTAAATGTGTATGTAATTAACATCAAGATGTTAAAATATATAAAGCAAAAAACTGATAGAACTGCTAGGAAAAATAGATAAATCCGCTATTATAGTTGGAAACTATACACTATACACCACGTTCCTTTTTAAGTCATTGCAAGATAGCAAGCAAAAATTGGTAAGGATATAGATGACATGAACAGTATTATCAATCAACTTGATCTTGTAGACATTTTTAGAATTCTTTTTCCAACCATAGCAGAATACTTATTCTTCTCAAGCATACGTAGAACTTTTACCAAGATCATTCACATGCTGGGCCAAAAATACATCTTAAAAGGTATAAAAGTATAAATTATACAAGGTATATCCATAGACCACAATGGAATTAAACTGTAAATCAATTACAGAAACAGACGGATATTTCTGTGTATCTGGAATTATACAGCACTCATTTAAATAACCCACCACAAGCAAAAGAATAAATCTCAAGGGACATTAAAAAATATTTGAGCTAAATAAAGAGAAAAGTACAGTTTATTAAAATCTGCAGAAAGTGACAAAAGCAGTACTGAGAGGAAAATGTGTAGCAATGAATGCATATATCAGAAAAAATCTAAAGTCAGTAACCTAAGTTTCCTCTTTAGAAAACTAAAGAAAGAAAAGCTATTTAAGCCTAAAGCAAACAGAAGAAAAGACATTTAAAATTAGAGTAGAAATTGATAAAATCAAAAACAAGAAAATCATAAAGAAAATTAATGAATCCACAAGCTGATTTTTAAAAAGATTAATAAAATTGATAAATTTCTAGCTAGTCCAAAAAGAGAAGTAAATTAGCAATATCAAAGAGGAGTTCTTACTATTGATCCTATAAACATTAAAAGAATAATAAAGGAATACTATGAACAACTCTACCCTCACAATTTTGACAATTTAGATGAAATAGGCCATTTCCTTGAAAGACACAAACTATCAAAACTCGCACAAAGAAAAACACATAGCCTGAATAGCTCTGTGTCTATTAAAGACTGAATCATTAATTAATACTTTCCAGAAAAGGAAGCATCATATCCACATGGGTTCACTGATCATTCTACCAAATATTTAAGAAATAAAACCAATTATGTCTTCCAGAAAATAGAAGCAGAGGGAGGACTTTCTAACTCATTCTATAATGTCGATATTACCCTAACATCAAAACCAGACAAAGACATTACCAAAGAAGAATATTAGAGTTCAATATATTTCATAAATATGATAGTAAACTGAATAATAATCCCAACCCTCCAAATTCTAGTACCTAGAACCTGCAATTATGCTACTTCGTATGTATGCTACCTCATATATATGGTAGCATATAGATGTAATTAAGAATGTTGAGATGAGAGTTTATCTTGGATTAGCAAGGTAGGCCTAATATAATCACAGAAGTCATTTTAAGAGAGAGGCAGAGGGAAATTTGACTACAGCAGAAGCTTGTGTTACACAGGAAACAGACACTAAAGTTGTTTGGCCACAAACTGAGGAATACCTGCAGTCTCCATAGCTAAAAGAGACAAGAATTGAATTCTCTTCTCTGAAAAGGCTACATACTATGTGATTTATATGATATTCTGGAAAAAGAAAACACTACAGAGACTCAATAAACAGACCAGTGGTTGCCAGAGGTTCAAGATGAAGAAGTAAGAGTTCAGAAGATGAAGTACAAGGCATGTTTTAGGAAGCTCAAAACATGAATCTTAATGTATGCAATGGTTTAAAAATCATTTAGGAGCGTGAGGATAAAAGGATGGCTTGCAGAATGTGACAAAAGAATTTCATTGTATTACAAATCAGAATCACTGAGGACATCAAGGTGTAGGAAAGGGCTCACCTAAATGACTTTGGAAATGAGTCAAGTCTGTAAGACCAAAGACAAAAGGGACTGTATATGAACAATGTACTCTACTTGATAATGTTATTCTCCATAAGGCTATTAATTAATACTTATGAAATCATTATACATATGTACATAAATTAAATAATTAAATAAATAAATGGTGAATGGTGGAAGACAGTTTTCTTATTAGTGAAGTGATAATTTACAGTCAAGCAAAGGGAAAAGGCTCAAATGGTCCATGTAGTAATGGGTTAAAGTTGGAGACCTCAGTATGAATTAATGTTTAGCTTATATGGATGCAGCTAGTGATGATCGTTACATACAGAAATACTTAAAGATATATGCATCAATATGGGATAGTATACACCCATGTATTTCCTTTCCCTGTCAGCTGAGAGGGCCTAGTAGCAATGACACCCCAGTAGCAACAAGCACACTTAACAGCCAAAACCTGGATTCCAATACCATTCTTCAATTTAAAAAATCTAAAACTCCTTGAAGAAATGTCTAATTCTAGGCGTCAGCATTTTGTATTGCCAGGAAGTAAGAAAGTTCTCAAAAAACCCACAACGATGGGGATATGTCAGCAGGACCCAGGAGCCAATTGAAAGAGCTCCCAATGGCCAAAGTTGGAACAACTGGAACAACAAAATAAATAAAGTAGTATTAAATTATAAACCAAAGCATAAAATAAAAATACATGAGTCTATATTGATATAAATAAATGAGTAAATAAAAAAATGGGGAGAATAGACAAACCCCCCATGCAGAAGAGTTCTGAATCATTGATGCAGTTACTTTGCCCTCAAGGAGAAGAAGCATAACTCGCCACTCCTGAAACATGGGGCAGTAGAGCAACTTCCTTCCAAAGAGTACATACACTAAGAACTGGGAAAAAAGAGGAACTTTACAGTGGAGGAACCTGACAAACGCCACCTCAGCCAGGTGAGCAACATCAACACCAGAAGTGATAACTCATTTCGATAGTATTAACACTTGACATAATGACAAGAATGTCACTTTATTTCTATGGTCTTCTTCCAAAATTACATAGCTCCCGTCTAACATGAGAAGAACATCAGATGAATCCCAAGTGAGGGAAATTTTACAAAATGGCTGAACAGTACTTCTCAACACTCCAAGGTCATCAAAAGCAAGGAACGTCTGAGAAACCATCACAGCCAAGAGGAGCTGAAGAGGAAATGACTAAAATGTAACATGGTTTACTGGATGGGTTCCTGGAAGAGAAGAAAAAAATAATAGGTAAAAGCCAAGGGAATCTAAATAAAGTAATACTTTAGTTAATAATATATCAATATTGATGCATTACATGTGACAAATATATCGTAATAATATAAGAGGCTAATATTAGGGGAAACTGGGCCTGGGGTATATGAAAACAAGCTCTCTGTACTAGCTTTGCAATTTTTTCACAAATCTGAAACTATCCTAAAATAAAAAATTTATTTAGAGTATGTATAAAAATGAATATATACATGTCTAAGATTGCAAGTGTACATGGATAAGGAGAATTTTCAAAGTCACTTTCAACTGTGTATGTGCCCTATTTTTAAACATAATCATTTTAACATACACTGTAATTCATGATTCAGTTACAAAATGCTTCAAAGCCTCTCAACAATTTCTAGCATACAGCTTGACCTTTAAGATTTTCATACATCTTGCCATAAGAAAAAATGTTTCTATGTAATGAGCTTGATCTTCTGCTGTACTGGCTATGAGTGTGCCTAGCAAGGACTGACAAGGAGGCATTCCTCTGCCTTTCCCCACTCTTCCAAGCACTAGCCTGCCCCACCCAGTTGACTCCTGTCCTCCACTGCTCACCCTCCTGAGACTACAAGGTGAAACAGCACGTGTAAGTGCTCAAATGAGTATGACAGAGAGGCTGGGATACAACAGCAAGCAAAGACCATTGTCCTAGAATACTTTCGTCTATCCTGTGTTCCTGAGAAAACAAGTCTATAGTTGCCAGCATGGAAAATTGTGTCTCTCGGTTTCAAGCTAGGGAACTCTAGGAAAAATTGAAGTGGAATAAATTATCATTTCACATATCTATTTTTCGGTTTTCCCATTTGTTAAGTGATAAGACTGGAAATCATACGTCACTTCATCTCCTAATGAGACCAGCCCCTAAGGTAAGGCCCAAGTCAGATGTTCATCCCAGATCCCGCTCGGCAAGTTCAGCGTTATCCAGGTGCTAAATTACTCTCCTGAGATGCAGGTGCTGAACTACTCCCAGAGTCACAGGTTCCTGGAGCAAAATATTCTTAGCCATATTCATACCCTCTGTTCTCCCTCTCAATGGGGACAAAGGGAGGTCAGGATAGGTCCCTGGAGGGCAAGAGTGGGAAAAAGACGTGTGCAGCCTTTCTTTGGCAGACAAATATCCATTTTACGACTTGGAAGCCTCCGGCTCCCTCTCTTGAATCAAGGACTGCTGCAGCTCAGGCTGCTGCAGGATGTATTTGTCTTTCCCTGCACATTATTATTTTATTGTTATTACTCTCATTCCTTCCTAACTGTGAGCCAATGAACAGAATTATTTTTATTTACTCTGATTTTTTGGATGCTTAAATATATTACTTCAATATAGTTTATAATCCCTATAATAGCACATAATGGTTATACTTTAGACATTTAAAAGCAATTGGGCACATTCAATATGCTCATGACATATAACTTTATAATGCCCTATCTCTTTGCACATTAAATGTTTTATGTTAATAAATTCTAGCCTATTTTGTATGTTTCATATTTGTGTGTATAAACTCATAAAAATAATAATAACCAGTATGAATTTTTCTGGCAAACTTATAGTGTGAAAATGTAATCAAAAATAGTTGATACCAGAGGTAAAGCTCAATAATTGAGGAAATCAAGTAGAACATAAAGATGTCTTAAAATTCAATGAGATTCTGACCAGATCCAAAAATAACATCTTGGCGATCTATTTAAATAAAACTCTTCCTGGTGTCAAGCAAGCAAAACACTCTGCTTTATGGCCAAGGGTGGTCTGTGTGCTGATGAATCATCCTCTGTCTGACCCAGACTCCTGACAAAGAACGATTTTCATTGTAAACTAATTTTTATAATGTCCTACTTTCAATGTCATCTGTGTCACTAACACAACCTTCGTCCAAAATGCTGGCTCTGCCTTGCAAAAGCTCTGCAGCCTCTCTTTGACAAGTCTAAAGAGGAGGATTAATAACCAGATATAATGGAGCATGATGACATGACATCATCCTCAAAGGTGACCCAGGGCCAGACCAGAGCCCGCACCCCTGGAGCACATTATTGTTGACTGTTGCAGCTGTGCCTATTGTCCTGTCAGACATGTGCAGGGTGATGGAAGGAATGCATGCTGGTGGCCAGGAGAAGGGGCTAATCATCTTTGGAAGTTTTTATGAGTATGTTAGACTTCTCTTTATTTTTCCAGAAGAAATGCATAATTCACTGTACACATGTAAGTAGAGTGTGAAACTTAGGGAGAAGGCACTTAAATAAACCAGCCTGCAGGGTTTCAGGAATTTAATAAACATAATTCCAGTAGCTTTAGGTTTAATCTCTTGTGACTGGACAACTTAAACCTTTATTTTTGTGCTGGAAGAGGTTTAGCACCTTTCCTCTCTGGTCCCTTATTATTTATAGTCATCCCATGACTATGTTCCTTTTCTCAAAAGCTAGGCTGACTCATAAGAAAAGAAACTATTTTCTATCAAGTCCCTCTGTAGGTAATAGCCAACTTTGGTCTAATGCAGTCCCTATAGTTCTGACCCAGAATTATTTTTCCTCTCCTGGGACAGCTCTACTGGATTTCTTTCTTGTTTTCACTTCTGTGTAAGATATATAGCACCATGTTCAAGGAACTACTATTCAATATTATATCAATCATCTATTATAAAAGAGTGGTTAAAACAGTAGTAACTTTCAGCAGGTCTTCAAAAATGTTTGTTCTGTTAGATAACAGGAATTCAATTTTTAATGATTTGATGTGACTTAACTGGACTTTTTAAACTTCTATGGCTAAAATCTCCATGGATAACATACAAACCAGAGTTAAACCATTATCAAACTTTAATAACAAGTCTCCAATGTATTATCAAATGATTTTAATGGAATCCTAAAGATTCATTTTTACTGTTTCTTTTTCTATTGAAAAGGGAGGCTAGCTTACACTACGTCTGGAGTATTCAGGATCAAAGAATAAATGTAAGATAAGGAAAAGCTGCTAAAGTCAGAAAATCATTTCTAGACTCCATATTTCTGTCTTTTTTTTAAGCTTTCAATTTTTTGCTTTGGATACCAAAAATCATTTAATTAAAATATCGTATTTTACCTTTTGAAATCATATTACAAAGGAAGACATAATTTTACAACTATTATTTCCCTCAGAACAACTGAAATGTTAGAAATAAATTATGTGTATAAATACAGAGAATAAATTCTTACATTTAAAAAATAATGTCTATTTTCAAACATTTAAATGATTTAACATTTAAATAATTTTAATAGAAGCAGGAAATCTTTTCTATTTTTATATATTTTCAGTTTGGCAAAATATATACACATTTTTAAAATATTAAAATTGTAGGTGATTTCTTTAAAGCACATTATCACAGATGTACATATTTAGAATCTTTTATAAAGCATAAAAGATGTTTAAAAGCAGTAAAATATGAATCATTAATAAAAACAATAGCATATAAATACCCAAATAAAGTAAATACAGTAAATGCATTCAAAATATTGATTTGAAAATTGAATTTGTGGGACAGAATACTACAGCAGAGCAATACCCGGCTTAATTAAAAATCCCAGCTTAGTCCTAATTCCATCTGGCTCACAGTGCAACCTGGGACAAGTCACTTAATTTCTCTAGACTCAGTTTTTAATTTTTACAGGATTGATTTTTAAATTCTGTATTGTCTTTTGTTCAACTGCATTTTTTGATACTATGCATTAATTTCCATCATTTTAATGGCTACCCTTGAATCAGGGCCAATACTTAACTGTTAGGCATGAGAATAGCACTCCTGGTTGTTCGTGGTACCCACCCACTCTGATTGGTCAGTGACCCTTTATAATTAGCTCTTGCCCAGACCATATTAGTTGTTAAACATTTTTGTCTATCTCTCCGTTAAATATTTATCACATTTTTATCCTATATCCGTCTTTAAAAATAGACCTAACCTCTTTGCAAACAATACCAGGAACTTGCAAAAGTTTGAATGCAGTAATCTCCATCCATATTTCACATTACTATCTATCACTTAGGTCTCTAATTTGTTTAACCTCCTATCCTTCAAATATAGGTTTGCCTCTGACACAATTGTCCATATATTTTGTATGTTTGTATTATGTAAATATAAACACATATACTTATTGTTTTGATCATCACTACTTTTATTATTCCCATTCCCTTTCTATGTTTGATTTTCTTCTTACTAAAATGTATTATTTTAAAATTCTTTTAAAAAGTGTCTGTAAGTTATAAATGTACTCATTCTTTCTTGTCTGAAACTGTCTTTATTTTGCCCTTACTCTTGAATGATAATCTGGCTAGCCATAGAAATTGAGGCAAAACTTAACTTCCCTAAGTTATTTAAAGACATTGGTCTACTGCCTTCTGAGAAAAACTTGTCACCCAGCAAGTCGTCTGTATTTTCTGTCTGCATTTAAGATTTTCTCTTTGTCTTTGATGTTATACAGTTTCACCACTATGTGTCTTAGAGTGGACTTATTTCCATTTTTCATGTTTTGGATTCACTGTGTCTAGAAATTATGGATTTGCATGTTCTTTCTTTCATGGAAAATTTTCAGAACTTATTACTTTGAATGTTTCCTTTCTCCATTTTTTCCCCTTTGCTCTACATGAAACTCCTCTGCACATGTAGTGGACCTTCATAATCCATACTCCACATCTCTTAAATCATCTTTCATATTATTTACCTATTTACCTCTTTAGTCATCATTTTGGGTGATTCCTTCAGATCTACCATCCAGGTCACTAACTTTCTCTTCAGCTATGTCTAGATCCATCCATATAGTTTTTATGTTGAAAAATTTAGTTTTTAACTTAGAGATATTTTATTTGACTCCTTTTTACACTAATCTGTCTTTTTTTCTACATCATGGGTAAGGCGGTCTAATATTGGAGGTCTGGAATGGGAAGTCCAGTGTTGCTCTATACCCAGAACTTATCTTTTAATAGCTCTGTCAGTAATAAAGCCACCATTTTAATCTCCTATGTCACTCTTAAATTAGATCCTAGTGTGTTTGTTTCTTAAATGGAATAAATTAATATGTGAAAACATGGAAGAATGCAGAAATCTCAAACTCAGATACCTGTGAGAATAATGCAAATAGCATAAACAAGTGGAAGCAGCCAGGGGAAAACTACATCAGACTGGAAAGATAATTGCCAGTGTAAAATGGGTCATTACTACTCAGTTGTAGCCAATTGTTGCTATGTGGAATGTAGGCCTACTGTTGCCATATTTTCGGTTTTTCTTTTTTTCAAGAGAATCCAAATATTTCTACTTTTCTGTGAAATCTGCCAAAATTTAAGTGTTTGAAACTGATTTATTTTTATAAAGTTTCTGATGTCCATAAAATCATGTCAAATGGCCATATTTGCAAGCACGGATTTAAGAAACAGACAGCTCTTGGTTGAGGTTTTGGCTTTTGGAAGGCAATTTACTTAACATCTTTATGCATTAGTTTCTATATCTGTAAAATGGAGATCATAAACTGCTATGATAATTAAATGAGAAAAAAATAGTCAATGCACCCTAAACAGTACTTAATACATAGGGATATTTAACAGAGTTCTAGAGAATAATCTCCTTGAGGAATATGAACATTAAATTTTATCCCCAGTATCCAATCTAGAGTGGTACCTATTAGGAACCTATTAACTCAACAACTGTTTGTTAGTTAAATAAATCATTAATGTTAATTAAATAAATTTCCGTCCACGAAGTTGACCACATTCCACATAGATGCACTAGTTATATTTTCCGTAAAATTTCTAAAATTACTGTAAAACATTAGTAGCTACATTCACTCAACTTGCTAAGCTAATCTCTGAAAAAAATTAGGAAGAATTATATATTTCGGAAAATATCTTAGATCTCAGGAGTTCTACTTACTAGTGTTCCTTCATACAAACATGTGTTAAGCAGCTAATATATACAAAGAACCCAGAATCTAGATTCTGGAAAGGGAAAGTGCAGAGAAATAGAGCTAACACTGTAGACCATTTTCCCTGGTTCAAGGGGGCTTATACTTTGGTAAGAGAGAAAATAATACACATATACTGCAAAGGAAAAAAAAGTGTATTTAGTGGGAAAATAGGGTTGTTTAAAGCACAGATTGTGTTAAATTGATACTTCAGGATTCCAAATAATGCATTGATTTTCTGAAATGTGCCTTTTTAAATCATCCTCCAAATGCATAATTGTTGGCAACATATACCAACCAAATCTCAAGGCTAAAGAACAGGCTGTCGGAGTCCTTTTAATCCTATCTTAGCTACATATCTGAAGGTCATGGTTCTAAATTCATTTAGGTTTAAAATTCAAGAATATTTTGAGGCTCATTCACTATCTTTGTTTGACTCCATTTTCAATTTATTTTTATTTGTGTTATAGTAAAAGCAGCACATTATAGGTTTAGTTCCAGGTTTCAGGTTTAGTAAATTTGTACAGTTCAGTGTCAAGTTCTATCATTTCTTCATGTGATGTAGGTTAATATTTGGGTGGATTCAGAAATATATGAACGTTGTAATTATCTAAGGTTCACCTTCCATGATCCAGTCTTCTCAGAACTAACCCTCTTTCTGAGAGTTTCTGGTATGTGGCTTTGCTGAATTATCTGAAATGAGTTCAGGTATTATCAGCATACCTTCTCTAAGGTCAAGACACCAAATTAATAAACTTTATAAAGTTCCTGTGAGATTTTCTTAATTTATGAAAACTAGTTTGAATAATTGCATCTCTCATTCAAAACTCTGGCCCAAAATTTATATACTTGCCAAAAATTTTATAATGTAGACTGCTAACTGAAAATAAGAAAAAATACATTTTCTGTACCCCATATCTATATTCCTTTGTGTTTAGCTTCCATCTGTTTGCCTTTTGTCTTTGTTTATGTGACGTTTTACATTTTGCCATCAATATGTTATGTTGTGCTGTGTTAACTTGTAAACTGAGACATAAAGATAATAAATTGTACAGATTCACCAACTTTTTAGTTGACTGACTAGTAAAATATGATTTGAAAATTCAGTAAGGATGTGGTAAGTTTAATAAGACTGCATTACAGGTACCTGCTGAGGACAAACTCCTTTTCATAAAGGACTGATAATTTCTTAAAGGGCAGCGGCTAAAGAATGATGTCTTCACATCACAAGTGAGAAGTAAGTACACTCATGGGATAAAATGTCCAACTTCCAGAGAAGGCTTATTCCCAGTGTTGTTTTTCTTTCCCCTCTTTATAGAAAATGCCTCCAACTGGAAATTCTCTAAGGATTTCAGCTAGTTGAAGGGTTTTCTATATCTTTCTTTTATGTAGACCATAAGAGGAGAGGATCATACATAAAGCTAGTAATATATGAAGAATGAAGCTTTTTGCATATAATAATGAGCAGACTCACATGGTTTAAAGATATATGTGAGACAACTAGTTCCACATAAAAGTATTATTTTTATAGTATAGTAGGTAACGAACTCAGTTTATTGTGGTTGTATTAGTTGCCATGTTCACACAGACACACCTTCTTCAGTCTCTTTATCATCCTCTATTTTTTTCTGCAGACAATGACAATAGCTTTGGCTCTAAGTATGGGCCATTTTAAGGTCATATTAAAAGAGTTTAACTATACTGTAGCCAAAGGATGGTGTTATCAAAGTAGCGGCATTGCTTTCAACCAAAGAGTGACACAACTCGAATGCACAGGGCAGTGAAGGAAGGTTTCCTAGAATAGATGGCATCCAACTGTCACCCAAATTAATGTTTTCAAGCTTCAAGTACAAAATATTTTTTTCCCACCTTTTTTCTATCGTTCTCTACTTTCAGATGATTATTTTCATGCTAAATATACTGCATTTATTAAGTAAAAGTAATTTCATGTTCCTTTTATTAATAATTATATGGAGAAAGACTTTCTATGCTTCTGATCATTGCACTGCACTGACTTATTATAATTCCAGCTCTGTCATTTTAGCTATCTCAAACCATCTTAAATATGATATATATCCACTTTTTATTTGATTTTAAATATATATGTATATGTGTGTGATATGTATTAAAAATGTGTTCATAAAACACTTTTGTAGACCCCCAAAGGATATTGATTCTAAGTTGCTTTATAACAAATTCAGATGCAGATGAGTCCTTAGCACATGTATAAGGACATATCTTTCAAGCGGGGAGAATCTGCAAAACAGAATAGCACTTATGGTATTATTTATGAATATGTACAGAAAGCATACATATACAATGTCAAAAACAACCAGAAACCTATGAGTAATCTAAAAACAATAATAAGCATTCCAAAAATTAACAATGATTTTAAAACATTTTACAACAATCAAATGTACATGTCTAGAAAGGGTTTGGTAACACAAAAATCAGCTAATATGATTGTTTACTTGTAACCACTGCTCACGAACCAGCTTGGATATTATTTTTCACCAAGGAAATAAACACTTCTCTTTGGACTAACTCCCATGCGGCAGAACCAGAGCAAGGCATTTATTGCTATTCGGCAGCTCTTTGAAAAATCAATCCAAAAGAGAAACTCTATGGAAGACCCATCTTCTTCTTGTTTCTCTGATACTCTGCACTCTGAAAACGAACTAAAGTGAAAAAAGAAAATGAGAGAGACACACCGAGAAGCAAATACGAACGATGGAGAAAGCCAAACTGGTGCTTCCAAACATCAAATCAGAGAATGTTGCCCTTGTCCTGGAATTCCCCTTGAGTTACTTAAAACAAGAATCTGGTCCACTGAGATCAAAGCCGAGAACAAAGAAAGTCAGAGTGATAAACAGCCTACTAGAAAGAGATCTCAAACAAACACTGACAGTTTGTGGAGTGACTGGGATAAAAATCAGCTGTTCAGTTTAATCTCTCATTTCCTCCATCAAAATGAAGATGGAATTTGCTGTGTCCCTGACAAGTGCTGGGCACCCCCAGCCTGAGTACTTCCCTAAGGTGGAGGAAATGTAATTTTTCAGCTCATTTATACTCACACTCAAACCAGGTCTTTCTTGCTTCACTGCCCGGGGATTATTTTAAAATGAGATTCTGGGTCCACTGTCACTGCAGACCCTCTGAAACTATCAATAGATCAGAATTTTTAAACAGTATCAGCCATGGAGCAATGAGGAGCAATACTTATTGCTCCATGGTTCTGAGACTTTTCTGTACTATGCAACACTAGACATGCATAATGTTAGTACAAAAAGTTCTTTGGATTGTCCCATTTCCTAATTATCTGGACAAAGATAAAATATAGTTAAGAACAGAGTCTCCAATACACTCACATCCCAGTGTGCAAAGAAAATGCCTTTATTTTTCTATAACTGACCCAATCTTTCTTAAAAATTCCTTGTTCTTCTAGGTAATGGAGATACGGTTAGAGGTGATTGCAATTTGGTCCAATTAATTTTAGTCCAGCCCAATGATTAAAACAACCTTTATAGGTAACTGCTTTTCTGCCTGGATAACTAAAGAAAATATTACATTTTACAAAATTCTACTCCCTACCCCTGCTCCTCTCTGAAAGGGTATCTTGGTGTATAAGGTAGCATGTTGTCTTGCACTGGTTAGACAATAAGAGGGGCTTTCCAACGTGTGTGGTTCATTCTGGATTCTTGAAGTCTCTGGCTGCAGAGAGGTTGGACTAGCTGTTCCCTGGGCTGGTGACATTCAAAAAGCCACTGCAGCCATCTGGCTGTCCCATTATGATGTGCTGGCACCCACCCACCACTGTGGTGTCAAAATCCCCCACATATGATCACTTCTGTACTCTGCCCCAAGATCTGATGGCTCACCAGCCATATCAGCAGCCATTTCCCCTTATTGAGGCACACAGTCTATCTCCTGTGTACATGCTATGGAGGAGGAATAACATTGTCCCAGGCTAATAAATCTAGCCCTTTTCTGCCCCCTCAGTGTCACATTTGAAGTGGTCTGCTTTGAGGCTTCTCCTTGAGGGTAGTAACACCCCCTTTAGTATGCCAGTAAAAGCCCACTGTTAGTTCCTTTGTTCTAAAGCTTCTAATACTTGAATTTCCAAAACTGCTCCCTCCTTTGGAGCCAGACTCTGATTAAGGTAAGGTGGAAGATGCTAAGAAGGAGAACTTTGATTTTTCATCCTTTTTTCCTCTGTGTGTCTCTCCTTTCCCTTCCCCGTAATTTCTACAGACCATAAGGAGCAGTATTTCAGTTCTATCATGTCTTCCTTTTACTCTAGGGCAGCCAAGCTTGTGGTCTAGAATCCTAGCCAGAAAAAGATATAATTTCTACATTATGGAGAATTCTTCATGATATGGATTCCAAAGGCCTGATTTGATTTACTAAAGAAATTTTCAAAATTATATCTCTTCTTAAAAAGCTGGCTTTCTTGATATGTTCTCAAATAAAAATGTAAGTGTACAATAAGTTCTGAATAAAGACCCTCTTGTTCTAGAAATTATGCACCATTCCCCTGTAGCACAAAAACTCAAAGTGTTATCTGGTGGGAAGTCTCCAAGAAACTAGAGTGATAAAATATAGCAATATACATATACACAGAAATACTGTTAAAAATATTATCCACATTATATTTTGGCCTCAGATTTTGAGAATATAAGAGTGTCAAAAGCTTTGACATCATGGCTTTATCTTCTTCACCACACCTTCCAGGCTGAAGAGAATCATGAGACCCATGACAACTCAGACTCTTGACCCACCATGCTGCATAATGGAGAGCGGGCATCTGGAAAGTCTTTTGAAAAGCTAAGCTGTGTCTCCTAGTAATGGGCAGTGTCATCTAATTAGTGACACATAGCCATCTAAAGCACAGGAAACAATTGGACTGCCTGTAAGAATGAAGCATGGGGTCGGGCACAGTGTCTCAGGTCTGTAATTCCAGCACTTTGGGAGGCCGAGGCGGGTGGATCACGAGGTCAGGAGATCGAGACCATCCTGGCCAACATGTGAAACCTGGTCTCTACTAACAATACAAAAAAATTCACTGGGTGTGGTGGTGCATGCCTGTAGTCCCAGCTACCCAGCTAATCAGGAAGCTGAGGCAGGAGAATCGCTTGAACCCAGAAGGAGGAGGTTACAGTGAGCCAAGATCACGCCACTGCACTCCAGCCTGGTGACAGAGTGAGATTCCAGCTCACGAAAAGAAGAAGAAGAAGAGGAAGAGGAAGAGGAAGAGGAAGAGGAAGGAGAAGGAGAAGGAGAAGGAGAAGGAGAAGGAGAAGGAGAAGAAGAAGAAGAAGAAGAAGAAGAAGAAGAAGAAGAAGAAGAAGAAAGAAGAAGAAGAAAGAAGAAAAGAAGAAGAAGAAGAAGAAGAAGAAGAAGAAGAAGAAGAAGAAGAAGAAGAAGAGGAAGAGGAAGAAGAAGAAGAAGAAGAAGAAGAAGAAAGAGGCATGGTTATTTGCATCTTCAAATAAATTACTATATGAGGTGGTCACATGACAGCCATCATCAACCAGATGCAGTGAGAGTCCTTAGAAAGCATCTGGGGGGGCCGGTCGCAGTGGCTCATGCCTGTAATCCCAGCACTTTGGGAGGCTGAGGCGGGTGGATCACAAGGTCAGGAGATCCAGACCATCCTGGCTAACACGGTGAAACCCCGTCTCTACTAAAAATACAAAAACAAATTAGCCGGGCGTGGTGGTGGGCGCCTGTAGTCCCAGCTACTCGGGAGGCTGAAGCAGGAGAATGGCGTGAACCCGGGGAGCGGAGCTTGCAATGAGAGGAGATCGCACCACTGCACTCCAGCCTGGGCGACAGAGCGACAATCCGTCCCAAAAAAAATAATAATAATAAAGAAAGAAAAGAAAAGAAAGAAAGCATCTGGGAATCAGCATCGGCTGCCAATTACAAGCGCAAATAGACACAAAGGTTGGTGAGGACGGAGCAAAGAGAATTTTTTTCTTTGGAATTGCAAAAGCCTCTGTTCCAATAAAGTGTAGTCACCTGCTCCTTAGGAAAGATTTACAAATCTTTGAAATTGCAGAGAAATACTGTCACTGAATCAGGGAGAGATAGAGAAGAGATGCCAAAGGAATGGCCTAGGACTCAAGGATATTCGGAATATCTGGTAATGGTCTCTTGTGTTTATGAGAGAAGAAAATGTAGTAGTTTTTTTATCCCTTTCCTTGGAAAGATTTTGGCATTTAATACACATTATATGATTTTTTTTCTGTCTTTTCAAATCAGGATACTACAAGGTCATACACGTAGTCATAATTTATGTAGTCATGCTAAGTGGGCTCTGAATCTAATCCTCCCCTAGCAAATTATCAGTTGAATTTGGTTTTCTCTGTTTATCTAGGAGTTGCAGGGCCATTCGGGATGGCTGCATGCTCATAGGAAAATAGGAAATAGGAAAATGATGCAATGAAAGCAACTTTTGCCTAGGTGGGGGAATTAAATTCCTGCACAATATCTTGAAAATTAGAATAAGCAAGTTTGATAATTATCCTTTTTGTCCCCATGAATTGTGAACTTAATCAGAATAAGCACCTTCCTTTGAAAGGTATTTCTAAGGTCATTCATGAAGTAAAAGCCTCATGAGCAAATCTTTCCTGGAGCATCTATGGACAGGCCAATAT
Source organism: Homo sapiens (assembly GCF_000001405.40). Lineage (NCBI taxonomy): Eukaryota > Metazoa > Chordata > Mammalia > Primates > Hominidae > Homo > Homo sapiens. The sequence goes on from NC_000005.10 coordinate 93,002,452, forward strand.
TAAGGGTAAAAAATTATTTCAAGAAAATCTAGATCCTCTTCCCTTCCCAAAGTGAAAATGATATTGATCCCTTGTGGACAACTGAATCAACCAAATATTAAAGTCCTTGGAATAAAAGATTTATAAATCTATCTCAAACACCTAAATATTTTTGCCTAGGGAAAAGAATTATTATCTATAAAATTATTTAAGAATCTATGAGTTATTTTATGCATTCGTTCAACAAATACTCCTGAAAAATTACTACATGTCATACATTCTTCCAGGTTCAGGGAACACAACACGGCAATATACAAAACATAGAACTCCATGCCCTCTTAACACTAATGGAGTTCCCTATCTCATGGTTGCTGCTGCAAAGCTTAGAGAAACATTGCCACTTTATTTTAAACAACTGTGTAAGACGTGTGGCAATACATTTTGTTAACGAATTTCACTTGTGGCTCTCTCTAATTTTCCTACGTTTTCTTTTTTTGTGAATTTCCATTCCTTATTTTCACTTTATTTTATTATATTGTTCATAAACCACTGAAAATTCTCTTTTGGAAAAAAGTGAAAAAAAATACTAAGTAAATTCGCTCATCCTAAGATATTACTCCTGAGCTTCATTTGAATCAGTTTGTCTAGATGTGCCTTCTTTGATGGCCCACAAGCATCTCAAATTATGAAGACAAAGTCAACCATCTTTTTTGCAAAATTCTATTAACTTATCACTTATGTTCCATAGACTGCTAAAGTCACCATCATCTAATAAATTGACCTAATACAGAAACTTATGTGTCATCAAATCCTTCCCTTCTTTATGCAAACATATACTATCAATTCAACATTCTACACTTTTATAAAATCTATTCTCTTCTGTTTAATAATCACTGGCACTGTCAGGTTTAGAGACCATAGTCCTTAGTTATGTAAATGCCTGAAATATACTTCTTACTTCCCTTCATTATTTAAAAAGATAAATCCTTAAAATGTGTACACACAGATTTGATCATGTCACTTCACTGTTCAATATTCCATTGAACATGCCCTGCCCTCTATCATTGGGCCTCATATTTCTCTCCAATGAAGTGTATACATTAATATTTTGAGCTTGATGTATTATTTATACATTTTAATAACATGGTTATGCTTTTATTATTAATATCTTAACTAAAATATAATTGTAAATGTATTAGAGAACTGAGAGATTCAGAAAAATGATGATAAAAGAAGAATTTTTTAAAAGTTGACAATACATGAGACATGGTAACTTCCTTAAAAAAATATGTAACTAAATTAGATCAAGTTCCACTGGTGATAGTCAAGTCTAATAAATCACCTTTAAACCAACCAGCTTTTACTTTCATATCAAAGCTAAAAATAGATTATAAGAATCAATATGTCGGGAGAAAAAGAAAAAATAAAACTGAAGAAAACGGAATAGTAGATATGTAAGATTATAGTCAATGGAGAACTTAAAAGACATTATTTTTTGAAAAAGAGGGGAAAATCCATCAAGGAAACAATTTAGGAGTGAAAGAAATCAACATTATCTCATGTTCTTTTTCATTTTTCTTTTACACCTTCAATAGTAATTTTGATTCCTCAGAATTGTTCAACTTAATACATTTGGCATGCACTCAATTTTCTATTATTATCCCATCAATTCACACATGTAAAGTTTATCAGGAAAAATATTACTTAATGTAATTTTGTGTTTTGGCCAACCTAAGTCATATTTAAGAATAATATAGGACAAGTTGGGCTCTAAATCCAATGACTGGTGTCTTTAAAAAGACAGAGAGAGATTTGGACAAAAAGAAACAGAAGCACAGGATAGCACTATGTGACAACAGAAACAGTGACTGCAGTGATGCCTCTACAAGCCAAGAAATGTCAAGGATTGCCGGCTACCACCAGAAGTGAGGAGAGAGGCATGAAACAGCTTCGTTCCTAGAGACTTCAGGGGGAACATGGCCCCGCCGACAGTTTGGTTTAGCTTCCAGAATCGAGAGAATAACTTTAAGCTACCCAGTTTGTAGTACTTTGTTACAGCAGACATAGGAAATGAATATAGTAATAAAATTCTTGTTTATATTAACTTATTCTGAGGGTAAAAGAGGTTGTAATGACTTTGGTTACAAAAATCAGACAGATATTCTTTAGAAAAATGTGTGTATCATTTTATGTACAGGTGGATCACCAACACCCTCAAATTTATCCTCTTTTCTGCCCTAAAATGGTAAAAATAAATCAATTCAGAAGATGATTTGTAATACTTATGTAATTAAAAAGAAGAAATGGATGGAGTAATCCAAGTATACCAGATCCCCTTAACTTTATCCCAGTCCCACCACTACACCTGAGAAAATGGGCAAAGCCCATAAGGGTTATAGGGTTATAAACTGGGTGGGACTCAATCCCATGTCTGAGCCATTATTAACATTGTCAGAGGCTCTTTACCACTCCTTATGAAAATGGGCCAAACTTCAGTCTGGTGTACTTACCTTGGAAATATTTCAAAATAAATAATTCTCAATAGACTAATTTTTTAAAGAAAAGGAGGACCTTGGAAAACATCTGCTTCATTCCTCTCATTTTAAAGACAGGAAACCTGAGATCAAAAGAGCTCAAGTGGCTTTCCTTGGTTATAATTATCATTAGTGATAGAATCATAGCTGGAACCAGCTCTCCTAACTTTCCTGAGCCTTCTTGCCCTTCCACTCCAGTGCACATCAGAAGTGTCTAACAAACTTTCCCTCACCATTTTCATTTTATGAGGAGTTGTCAAATGTGTTTTCTTTTGTTTAGCTCTCAGTGAAACCTCTATTTTAGTAGTCTTCCAATTACATTTTTAATATGGTAAAATATGCTTATAGATAAGTAATAAATTCAGCATAACACTTCTTTCTCTTAAGAGAATTGTAGTATTTGTAGCAAATGCTAGATGACAGACTGGAACACTTGCTTTCAAATTCCTACCAGAATATTTAAGTTACAAAAAAAGTACATGAAATAATTGTATTTATGCTTACCATCCTGCAATAACTTTTTTTAACAAGTTCATGGATTGAAAGTAGCTTCTAAGACAGAGATTAAAGATAGTTTCAACCCAAGTCTAGATCCAACAGAGATGTTAGAGTAAAACATACACACATAAATGTGATAAAACACACAGACACACAATACATACATACACAAATACACATGTATATAAATGACAGAGGCAAGACAGGCTTGAAAAACAGAAATGTTCACTTAGAAACCTACCATAAATTTAAAGTTATGATCAGTGGCCAAGTACTGGGCCAGCTTGATGCCAAGAAGAAAAATAATGGCTAAGTGAATACAATTAATCACTGTATTTACACAACTATCATTTTCCTATGTAAAGAGCTACCCTGGTGAGTGTTATAACACTTGTCAATTAGTTCTAATTAGTGTTTCTGCCTCTAAATGCTTGACTCCACTTTCAATTACAGTTGTTTACGTATCTTAACAACCACTGTACTAGATATACTGGCATGAGCTCTGATACATTTTTAAGCTTAAACTACTCAATCACAACACCCCTCCTCAGGTAAGTAGAGCCATGCTGTTCGCTCGGTAGATGTGATAATTTCTTGGACTTGAAGTGGATATCCATGAGTGACCCAGTTATTGGCTGTCCTCATGAAGATAAACTTCTTCCCCAGATAGCCCCTAAACAACTGAAATCTCCATTGAAATAATTTTGGAACAACTCAAGCTTTGACTTGGTCATTCCTTGGAATATCTACAACAATTAAGAGAACAGAGATTTAAAGAGATGACTGAATGAAAATACATAAGAAAGCAATTCCACATGTAATGTGCAATACGCTTTCTCATACATGAGTACATTAGTGGTAAGTGATGAATATTTAAAGAGATGAATAATGTACTTTATATGCTTTTCTATATTTTTCTTACCAATAGAATCCTCCTTTTCTTGGAGGTGTCAACAGGCACAAATTTTTAAAAATTGTTTTGAAAGTGTAAATGTTTACTTTCTTTTACAAGATATATGAAAAAGTCAAATGATTCAGAAAATAAGCTTTGCACCTAATTAAATGGTAATTCCCTCTGACTTGCTCTGACCCTACAGAAGTGCACGTATGCCTAAAGACTCTGCTATTTTAGTCCTGTGGAAGCTGAAGGGACAGTGCGGGGAAGAGATGGAGGTGAACAATATTTCATTCATTCTCTCAAGGGTCTCAGAATGAAAGTTTGTCAGCTGTGTAGCTGGGACTTGGTCTTTTCAATGGTTATGGCCAGTGCCTGGCCCACAACAAAGCCTGAGCACATGATCCACCAAGAAAGACTGTAAAATTAAACCTTGTAATGATTCCAAGAGTTCAATAAATGTGTCCTCTTATGGAAAAGGGAAAGAGAAACCCATTAATTTTATGTGGGAACAAAACTAAAATATATTTAGTCGTACATTTTTGCATCAGAAATGCTAGCCATACTTGATAGCATATATTAATTATTGGAAACAAAAAGATTTTGTAGAAAGTTGAGAAGATTCAGAATCTTTCTTTCAGCATCTTCTTGTGCCTATAGAACTATTCCTAGGTTCTAGCATGAAAGTTAGGAAATCAGGAACTCCTGAGGTCTGGTTCTAAAAAAATCCTAAGAAAATGACCTCAAGTAGATGACTCATGAGAATATAACAGGTGGAAAGTGTTTTGTCATCCCTTTATGGAAACTTTTTTTATTTCTCTAATTCTTGCGTATAGCTGTTTAATACCCCTACATTTGGAGCAAAAACTTAAGTAGGGAGTAACAATTCCAATATCTTAAAGCCAAAGTGTAATATCGTTTTCATTGATGAGGAAACTGAATCAATAAAGGGCCAAGTCTCAAAAAGAAATTGCATGGAAAGCTGACTCACTTCAGATATATCAAAAATACTCCTGAATTTGGTTATATACTATGTTTTCATTACTTTAAAAAATATATGCAGCCAAAAAATTTCCTTTAACTTTTTCTTAATTTTTTAAAATACAGTCAGTCTTCCATATCTATGGGTTCTATATCCATGAATTCAATCAGCTGCTAATTGAAAACACTCGGAAAAAAAATAATGGTTGCATCTGTACTGAACATATACAGACTCTTCTTGCTTCTCATTATTTCCTAAACAATACAGTGTAACAGCTGTTTACACAGCATTTACATTGTGTTAGGTATTACCAGTAATTTAGTGATTATCTAAAGAATATCAGATGATATACATAAGATATATACAAATACTGCACTATTTTATATAAGGAATTTAAGCACTCATGAATTTTGGTATTCGCAGTGGTCCTGGAATGAATCCTCACTGATACTGAAGAAAAACTGTACAGTTCATCTGTTGAATAATAATTATTATTACCTAGAGGTCAAAGGGTCATTGGTAAAAGTACAATCTTCGTTCCTATATGAAACCCAGAAGTTATAAATATCTACTTGAGAAAATAATTGGTAGAATTTATTATGGGACTGTGTCAAAGGTTTTTTTTCTTTTAGACTTATCTGTGCAGAAATTATACAGTCACATATGATAGTTTGAGATAATAACTTTGTTTTCTTTGATGAAGAATTATACCAAATTATGTTTAGGTTATAAATTACTGTAATAAAATTGTTAATTAGTATTGTAAATTGGATCACCCTTTTTGGAAGAAAATTTGCAATTTCTATTAAATATTTTTAATAACTAGTATTTATAAAATACTCTTCTCATACTAAGCACTGTTCTAAGCATTTAGTCATTCTTATAACAACTCCAAAAGATAGGTACTAATATATTTTATTGAATCTAAAATGCCATCGATTGGGAGAAGTATCTTTAAATTATATATTGAGAGAAAAGAAAAAAATGTGAACTATACTATGTACAATATTTTCTTGTCATTTATTGTTTTTATTTTTACTTACCCAAAGAGGTCTTTTACATTTAGACTTGGTCTTTATGATGTATCACTCTTACATACACAAAAAATGAATATATAAATTAAACCAATTGGTTGATATTTGCAACAGAGTGAATATGTCCCCCAAAATTCATATCTTGAAACCTAATCCGCATTACAATGGTATTTGGAGATGGGGCCTCCATTGGGTCATGGGGTAGAGCCTTCCTGAAGGGAATTAGTGCCTTTATAAAGGGAACCCCAGAGAAATCCCTGGTCCATTCTGCCATGTGGTGACCCAGGAAAAAGACGGCTATGAACCAGAAAGCAGACCCTCACCAGACGCTATGTCTGCCAGCCTTTATCTTGGACTTCCCAGCCTCCAGAACCATTAGAAATAAATTTCTCTTGTTTATAAGCCACCCGGTCTATAGTAGTTTGTTTTAGCAGCCCATATGAACTACGACAAGATTACACTTGGGATCCAGTTCTTCTTAAACATTTTTTTGACACAGAGTTAAGAACATCTATGTTTTTCTGCCAAGTATTAGCCACTATTCTGGAAAGACTGTGGGTGATGCAATACTTCTTTGTAGAATTCTCTACTGTCATTTATAGGGGTTTCTTCCAGACTTCTGACACCCATTTGACAAATTTTGTTACATTAATTTAAATGAAGATATCAGTGGAATTTTTTTAAACAACAAGCAGGATGCATATTCCTGCTTTCAACAGTCCTTATGTGCTTTGTCGAAGAGTTACAGATGTCTAGTCATGGAATCTGTAATAACCACGGAATGTGCATATATGTCAGCAAAGACATCAATGCCATGCTCTTTCCTAGTTGAATATAATTGTAAGATAGCCTCAATGGGGAGATAGATTCCAATTTCATAAATGTTAAAATATGTAAATAAGTATCATACCAAGAGACAGAAATAATGGAACAGCTTAGTAGAGTGCTCTGCAGTCAGATTATGCAGGTACAGTGTGGGGACACAGCCTGGATCTTCTACTGACTAGCTACATGACCTTGTATAGATGATTTAACCCTTTTACTATTTAGTTAGCTCAGCAATAAAATGGGCATAAAGCCCACTGTGGTATCATTTTGAAAATTTTAAATAGTAAAAAGCTATCTGCTTCTGGGTATTCTTTTTCTATAGAAATATTCACAAATATACAACTATGTATAGATATAGAGAAGAGATATACATACAAAAGGCCATTGTTTTTAATGTTGATAACTATAAACTCCTGAATTTCCATCAACAAATCAGTTACACAAATTATGGTACCTGAAAGCAGCAAAATTATATATAAAGATTAAAAATAATGAAATAGGTCTACATCTGCTGGCATGGAAAAATATGCTATATTAGATAAAAAAGCAAGTTGTCCCCATATTTAAAATAAATACATAAAAAAGCAAATGAACAATCATACATATGCATGCTTACATTCAAATGGGTTTATATTTATTTGAATTTTTTTTAAAAAGCCTAAAAGATTATTATCCAAATTTTAACAGTAGTTGTATTTGAGTGATAAAATCATCAATGCCTTGCACATTGCTCTATTTCTTCAATTTTCACATTGATTTATAAAACATTTATAATCAGAAAAAATAGTGTGAGGATATATATATAATATATATTTATTTAATTTGTACATCCATTATATTTTGTAAGACAAAACAATATATACCAATAAGATAATAGGAAAATAAAGGAAATATAACTGGATCTGAACAGTAACTTTTCTGAACTTGTTCATTAAAAATAAAATTGCCTTGGTCAAAACATATTTTTCTGTTGGTCAATATTGACTCTAAATATGTAAGTGTATTCCTTCAACATATTTTATTTTATTTTATTTTATTTTATTTTATTTTATTTTATTTTATTTATTTATTTATTTTGAGACAGATTCTCACTCTTGTCACCCAGGCTGGAGTGCAATGGTGAAATCTCAGCTCACTACAACCTCCAACTCCTGGGTTCCAGCAATTCTCCTGCCTCAGCCTCCCGAGTAGCTGTTGGCACTTGCCACCATGCCGGGCTAATTTTTTTTTTAATAGAGACAGAGTTTCACCATGTTAGGCTGGTTTCGACCTCTTGACCTCAGGTGATCTGCCTGCCTCAGCCTCCCAAAGTGCTGGGATTACAGGCATGAGCCACTGCACCCGGCCCCTTCAACATATTTTAATTCTTGTTCTCTAAATCCTATAAAACATCCCTATTTTATATTTTAATGGAGAGTTTTCTATCCCTAACATCTGCTATCTAGCTGTAGCAGATTCCCACACCTTTCTAGTGGAAACAATCCTAATGAAAAGTGTGGTCCGTTTCTGAGTTCACCAGATGAAATGTGAATTCAAACAGCCACTTCTAATCACTTGCACAAGCAAGGTTTGTGAAACCCTTCTGCTCTGCCTGGACTCCTGTTTTTCCAATGTCCAGATCAAGTAGCATACAAAGCCATAAAAGTATTTGATATATGGATGTTCTCAGAGTCAAGCCATGGGCCCTGTCATTAAAAACACATGTTGTATTTGTATTTAATTTCCAAACACAGTTTACTTGCAGGTAAGCCAAGTTCATTGCATGGAAAAAACACAAAAAATAGAAGATACAAGATGAAGAGAGATGAGGATGTACATTATGATTAGAAAATATTTATTTTTTTATGTTAGTCCAGATTAATTCATGAAATGTTTCCTGTACTAACACTGAAGAGGAAGAACAAAACAAGAAGTTTACAACGACCTGCAGGCAGCAGCATTTCTGCATCTCTCTTTTATTAAAGCATCTTAGCTATCAACTAATAAGAAGTGTTCTCCCATGAAACTGCATATTCCTCAAATTTACTCTATTGAGCTAGTACTGAAAGGCAGATTTCATAACACAAACATCTTGACATCTATATTGTTAGTTTAAAGATATAAATTGGTACAAGCCTTTGGAGAGGTAACTACAAGAAAAAAAAACACTCCTATGCAGATTTCTGAATTAACATCATAATCATACTCCTAAGAACTAAGATTTTGAATTCTTAATACAGATCTGGAACTTGGCTAAATGGTTTACAAGTGTTATTCCGTGATGCGCTGCTGGTAAACCCCCTGTCTGGGAAGGAAAATAAAAACTCTACTTTGCAGCATTTGTCAATTTCCATGGTGTAGATACTATCCCCATGGCCAATTTTAAACTACTAAGGTTTTAACAACTAGCTTGCAATATTCCTGAACCATTAACAATTGGCTAGCTCCAGAACATCATCACATTGTTTCTGCAAAACGGAGCTTTACACTAGGAATTATTAATCCCTTTTATAGATGTTTAAACTGAGATAGAAATTGGTGATTTGTCCAAGGTCATACTTTTAGTTGGGGGAGGGTATTGTTTTCCTTGCTTTATGCTTTTGCATATGTATTATAATTCTAATCTTCTTCAGAGAAAAATGCAAATTAGCAACCAAAGAATAAACTAAATCAGAAAGAAGAAAACACAAACCCAAACTTCCCTCTGGTGTGCTATTTGCCTAGAAAAACCTGCCACAGTAATGGATTCCAATGGGGTGTATAACACAGTAGTCAAAAAAAATACTGTAGCCTGAAAACAGAACTGACAAAGCTTTAGTGTATGCTTAACATCTTTTTCTTAAGTGTTTTTTTTTTTCAAGAAACTAAGTTTAATAGCTACAAAGTAAGAGTTAATCAAGGGTCTAAAGTTGATGAGTTCATAATGTGGTGATAATTGGTTGAGAAAAAGTGAATAATTTATCCTGTAATTATTAATCATCATTTAGTTGCAAGTATCATGCTGCAATATTAGAAATATTTCTGTGAAAGAACAGAATTAGTAGCTCTCAGAATTAGTAGCCAGAAAAAAAGGAGATTTAGAGAGAACTGCATGAATGCTTTTCCCATATTAATTATAAGCATTATTCTTTCAAGGAATTTATGAAAATTAAGCTATTTCAGAAGAGGTCTAATGTAGCAGAAAGAAAAATACTGAGCATATAAATCACTTAGCACCAAAACCTAAGTTTTGGTTCCAGTATTTCTACCTAGGATCTGTATATCCATAAAAATTGCTTAGCATTTTCCTGGGCAAAAAGAGAAAGGAATTCTTATCCAGATTCAAATGATGTAATGATAATAAAAGCTTAAATTTTTTAAACAATTTGAGTGTGCCAGGAACTGTGCTAAGTGATTCGTTCGCATTAGTTCACATAATTCTCTTAACTCAATTAGTATTAATTGGGTTACTATCTCATTTTACTGATGGGAATCTGCTTTCCTTAGAGCACAGCTAATAACTGGTAGAAGAAGGACTCAGAGCCAAGGCTTCTATCCTTTATCATCTACCACTCTACACTTTGAATATATATAATGAAAGGGAATGGGCTCCTCGAAAACTGTGGTGACTTCATCATCTCCGAAAGGTTGTGATTTCTTGAGATCTGGAACTGTGCTTTATTCCTGTCTATATCCCTATACTAAATGCATGAAGAATGTAGGAATGAATTAATGTATTACAGATGATGAGTAAGCAGCATCAATACCATACTATGAACACTAACATAAACTGCAAATCTTAAATATGTGTGTGCTTTGTTAAATGTTTTGAGAAAATCGTGCAAGTTCCAAAGAATTGGATTTAGGCAGTGCTTGGTAAGGTAATTAATAACATGTTACCACTTACATTTTATATGCCAATGTATTTGTAAGGGATTAATTTGTAACCATTTTTCTCTGGAATTATAATTGAAAAATTCTTGCTTCGACTACATTAGAAAACATTTATTTATAATACCTTCCGTTCTCAAATTTCAAACATGTAAAATTTGACTTATTTCTATCTCTGACTATCATAGCCATTTACCATGATAAGGAATCATATCACGATATTTGGTAGAAACAAGATAGTGTTTATTGTAGCTGTCCAAATTAATATTAATTGTCATAAAGAAACTACCTCAATGGAATTTTGCTTAGCTTCATTTCCTTGTTTGATTTCTTTATTTCTAGAATTGGGATTTATCTTTTTGAGCTAATGAGACCAACATTGCTAGGATGATCTCTATTTAGAACAGCTAATATTTCTATTCCACTGTCACATCCCACATATATGAAACCTTATGCTCCAAATCACAAGGGAGATGAGTACAATTCATTATCTCATAAAAACAAAAACAAAAGCTAACAAACAACACATGTCCTACCATAATGGATTAAATTGGCATGCTTGTTTTTAGAGAGCAAAAAAAAAATTCAATTTTATGAATTGTTGTAAGCTTTTAAAAAGTACTAATTTTTTCCTAAATTTGTATAGTCTTCTGTGAAAACTCTTTCCTCCCACATGATTACATTTTCATGATGATTTCCGATTAATCTTTTCTCCACTATTCTTATCATATCCTTTTTCATGGGCATTTTCTTTTCCTTCTACTCATTCCATTTGACTTGGGGTAGCAACAGTACCTCACTTTTCTTTCTTGCTTTGGCTCCTTACACATTACATGGCATAAAGTAAATATGCTTAATATACATCACTGGAAAATGTTAAAGGCTATTTTCTCTGTTCAACTCCTCACTATGTCATCTGGCATTGCTTAAAAAGACAGAGAGGGTAATTGAGAGGGAAATAGAGAATGTATGTTCCTCTCTTTGGCCCTTATGCATTTATTTTTTAAGTTTTTTTTTTTAGCATCAACCTGAGCATTGTCAGACATAGAACTACCAGTTAAGTCAAATAGAGCCCCTTCAAGAGATACTTTTTATATTTTTTATTTTAATTTATCTTATTTTATTTTGAGGCAGAGTCTCGCTCCATCGCCAGGCTGGAGTGCAGTGGTGCGATCTCGGCTCCCTGCAACCTCCGCCTCCTGCGTTCAAGCAATTCTACTGCCTCAGCCTTCCGAGTAGCTGGGACTACAAGCGCCCGCCACTACGCCCAGCTAATTTTTGTATTTTTAGTAGAGACAGGGTTGCATCTTGTTGGCTAGGATGGTCTTGATCTGTTGACCTCGTGATCTGTCTACCTCAGCCTCCCAAAGTGCTGGGATTACAGGTGTGAGTCACCACGCCCAGCCACAAGAGATATTTTAAAGTGATAAACATGTTTATTTGTTTCACTAGAGTAACTATTTTACAACCTATATGTATCCCATAAAGCCTTGTCGTATACACAATAAAAATCTCTTTTTCACAAAAGAGAGAATTTTGAAGAGGACATTTTTCTTCCCTCAATAACTAGCAAGCATAATTTATCAACTGGATGGGGAAATGAGTTAAGATAAACCATAGAGATCCTTGTATTTTATAGAACCAGCAACACATAAACCTACCCCTTCTTCAACATTTAGTCCAGTGGGCATGTTCACAAGCCACATAGACACAAAAGGTTAGCACATGCGTTTTCTCAAACTTCTTACACTTTACCTCACAGATGGACCATGAATGAAAGATTTGTGCTACCTCTTTCTTGACAAAGTGGATCATGGGCACTCTCATCCTAAAACTCTCTCCTTCACAGTTGGCACACCTGGAGTATTGGCCTTCACTGAACAAATCATGAGATTCTATTGCAGTCCACTAGATTCATAATCTGGCTACTCCCAGAGAAAGAATCTAACATTTAGTCAGCTCCCACTCAAGAATAACATAATTACAATTTCATATTTTTGTGTAACCCCATTTGGCTAGATTGAGAATTCTAAACTCTGGTTTCCCCTATGACTCAGTCTTCAAAGACTTGAAGCCATTTAGAAAACACAAAGATTTAACCTGAGCATTGTCAGACATAGAACTACCAATTAAGTCAAATAGAGTCCCTTCAAGAGATATTGTATTTTATTTATTTATTTTATTTTATTTTTTATTTTTTTGAGACGGAGTCTCACTCTGTCACCAGGCTGGAGTGCAGTGGTGTGATGTCAGCTCACTGCAGCCTCCGCTTCCTGGGTTCAAGCAATTCTCCTGCCTCAGCCTCCCCAGTGGGGTGGGGGGGCCGTGGCGGGGGGTATTGCAGCCAACACGATATCTTTGTGGAGTTATTTGACTTTGTCAGCACAGTAAATAAGGGAGTGTGATGGAGAACAATTGGGGTATTTTACCAATCCCTTAGAGCTTATCGTACTCCTAGGTGGCTGCTCAGGGAAAGAACTCAAAGGAAGCTGAAAAGACTGTTTACTCAGTCAGTTAAAATGACCATCCTACAACCCAGGCATATCTGGAGCTCCAGAGAAGAGAGAGGGCCCATCTACTCCAAGGGTCTCTGGCTCTGGGCATGGCCAGCACCCTAGGCATTAGAACTATAATCTGATGAGAGAGCTGCAAATGAATGATTCCCATTTTGGCAACTTTGTAAAGGATCATAAAATATTGTTGCAAGGGAAACATCCTGGCTGGTTAGCTGATTTCTTTCCAGCCTTTCCTTGTATGATATTATTCATCAGACTAAAAAGAATATAAAACAGTGAAGTGAGATAGTCAGAGTAAACCAAGAAGTGACCCAGCAGAAGACCCAGCAGTACAGAATGCTGGAAGTCAGTTCTACCAGAATAGTTTCTATCAGCAAAAGACAGTCAAGTAGACTTCATTTACAATCCCTGATTATAACTGTAAATAATAATGGAACCAAGAGAAGCAATGGCACATCAGACATTGGTATAAGGCAGCAATGGTGCCTGAATGACAGGGGCTTCCTTGTTTCAATCTATCCATTGACACATCAAGAAACACAGTATGCCTTACATGTGTAGACCTGAGGGGAAATACTTTCTAAATTGCTACACTCAAGAAAAGCAATGATAGTATACTCTATAAAATAACATTTCATAAATAAGCAAACAAAAATAAAGATAATAAAGTTTTAGGGTGGGGAGAGAGCATTTCCATCAAGAGTCTTCAGAGAAGGACTCATAAATGAAGTAGAATTTAAGCTGATCTTCACAGGTGGACAGACACAAAGAATGAGGAAATGCATTAAGTATGTTTCAAGAATGTTAATGGCATACAGAAAACTAGAGAAGCAGGAACATATAAGGCATATTTACAGTATGTGTGGAGGGAGTGAGGATATATATAATGAGACATATACAATGATATGTATCTATCAATGATCAATATATATAAATGACTTCTCTTTCTGTTCCTATTCTGTATTCCTTTTCTTGGCTGTGGCACCAATTGTTAGCTTTGTGACCTTGGGTAAGTTACTTAACTTCTTCTAGTCTCAGTTCTCTTAAGTGCAAGATGAAAATAAAAAATGTTCCTAACTCACTGAGTTGTTATACAATTGAAAATAAATGCTAATAGGCTGAAAATAGTGAGTGGGCCATCTTAAGCACTCAAAAAATGTTTGCTCATTATTATTCATATTAGCTCCTCTAGGTTGTTTTCCCTTCATCCTCTTATAGTCCTTTCAATAGACTTTGAGCTCTTTGAGGACAGAGACTGTGTCTTATTTATATTTGACCCTCCGCATCTAGCATACTTCTGGGTGTGTGCCCATAAATGTCTCTTGAATTAACTGGTCCTGGGCTCTATGCATCTATATCCATATCCACATTTGTGCATCACAGAGTCTCCAAGTTCACATGCTTTTATTCCAAGGCCTTCTATTTCTGGGCTGCACTATGCTCTCTTTCTTTTCCTGGTGTCACAGGGATTGCTTCTCTGTTAATGCACTCAGTCTAATTTCTGTTATAGTCCATGCTGTTAGTTTCACCTATGGAATTTCAGAGCAGATAGAAATGGTGATCTGTAACCAGTAGTCTATGGTTCTGGCTTCTGACCTCCCAGTTCCATATAATAAGTTAAGTCTACTCAAATGTGAACCTTAATTTTTTTTTAAAGAGTACCTAGTTAACATGCCTTGTAAGTTCTACTCCCAGTAACTTATATGTCCATTAAAACCATTAGTTGCCTAAAAGATATACAGTACCATTATGCCTGCTTAAATCCTGGCAAAGATCAACCAACATCCACATACTCTAGAGGGTTATGGCTAAATTAAAAGATTGTTCCCTTCCCCAGCTACTTAGATTACCAAAAAAGATAGCCATGTAAGATTACTTTGCCTTTTCTGACTTTAAAAAGTTGCCTGCTTGCTACCTTTTTTTATCTGAAGCCTGTAGGCAGATTCTAATTTGGCCCTGCAAAAAAATCTGTTTGGCCCTGGGCTGAGGGAAGATGTTAATTTTCATGACTGTTTTAGAACACATCAAAATTCAGTATGCATTTTTTTCAGGATTTCAAAGCAATATGCTTAAAACATGCAATTTAGAGCTAGAACATATAGAGCATTTAAAAATATTCAGGTTTTACCAAGAATCCATCCGGTCTATTATTACAATAAGTAGGATACAAAGATATCTTTATCTGGTTGTGAATGAAACTCTATCTACATAGAAAAAAGTTCAAAGTAAAAACTGTAGCTTTTTGAATTCTACAGAGGTTCTCTAGGATGGACACTGGAAATTTGGTGTAGTTGAAATGAAAGGGATCATAAAATTGAATATGAATATGCATTAAGCCCTCCTTTAAAAATAATTTTAAAAGAAAATGGTGTCTAGCCTTTAACATCTGTCTTTAATATATCTTAAGTAACACTTTTAGCTTGGTCAATAAATGTAACTAAAAATGAGTGAGCATATGACTCATCCCACCATGAATATGTGTTAAGACAGACACTGAGCACCTCCACGGGCTTCAGCCGCAGTATTTGTGTTCCCTTATGTCATGCAATGATGACTCCTTCCTTCCTGAGACCAGCAGGTAAGAAGAACTTTAAAAAAATGGCCCAGATGGACTGAATTTGTAATTCTTCATCTCACAGATGCCAAAATGCACTTCTAATTACTATTAATGAATTTGTTCCTTTGAGGTTCATACTGTCCTGTTCTTCGGGAATGATAGAAGTTGGAACCTCAATGGAAATGTGGCTACAGATGTAGTTTTGAGATGAACCAAATTAAGGTTGTTGAAATTTATTCAGTCACTTTCTGCTTCTCCCACCCAAAGTCTACATGTTTCTAGTAGCAAAATGGGATCAAATGAAATATTAAATAGCCTCCTATCCACGTAGAGACTTTGAGGAGTCTAATTTAAAACAAAAGTGGGAGAGAAATGTGCAATGATAATTTTCAGGCCACTTTCTTGGGTGAAAACCAGCTGCTTTTGGTTTTGGCCTCACTCAAAGATAAGAGACATGAAATCCATCTTCATGTGGCTTCTGAAATTAAGTGACAACTCACAGCTTTTCAGAGGCAACTGGATTTCTAGCTTGCATTTTTTGCACAGGAGTCAGCCATTGCTGAGGCATGCACATTGTTACTTCCTAGAAACAGATGCTGTATGATTGCAGCAGTTAACATTTCCTGAGAGCCTACTGTGTGCCAAGCTCTCTGCTAAGAGCTTTGCAGATATCAACTCATTTAATCTCACAATGACCAATAATGTAGGTATCACTGAAACCCCCATTGTAAGAAGAAGGAAGCTGAGGCTCTGAAAGGTAAGTAATCAAACGAATCACAGATAGTGGCAACAAGCAAAGCTGAGATTCGAACTCAGAGAGTCCAACCTCAGGGTCCTCACTTAACTCTCACACTGTTGCCTCCCTTCCACTGCACTGATAGTATCAGAAACTAAGAGAAATTTTAACTGGCTTAAGTAACATAACCGAATCTAAGGAAGTAAAATTTGAAAAGAGAGGTAGCAGGATGTAACAACCAAAGCAAAGGGTGGGGATAAGGAGGCTTAGAAACAGCCTGCACAGGGAGGTTAGTTGACAGACAGCTAAAATGAAGCACACCTAAACAAGGTCAGCCAAAAGAAATATTTCAAGATATTTGAAAAGCAAAAATCAAATGACACCATAAATCTGTGAACCCCGGGAAACACAGCATCAGGGAGATGCACCCAGCATGCTACCAAAGGAAATAGAATAGCACCAGGGACACCTATGCAGGAGATTATGCTAGTGGCTACAAGAGCTTCAGACTGTAGGAGGTAAAAAATCAAGGTACCCACTGGATTGACATTGATCCTAAGCACTCAAAACCTTTTTGAAGTTTTCTTTGGAACTGTTTTCAAAGTTCATGGTGGAAAGTCATCATCCCTTGAGAGTGGATTCAATACTAAGAAACAACAAAACTTGTAGCGATTGCAGTGAAAATTGTTTAAATGACTAAGCTGAATAACATAAACAAACAAACAAAAATGGAGTGGCTGTAATATAGTCACACTTATTTTCTTGAGTGCATAATTAACAGAGTATAAAGATAGGTCCCAAAATATTTTGAGCATCAGTTTTATTGTTGGGATAAGTGGCTTTCAAAAAAAAAAAAAAAACCAGGCACTGGAATTTTTATGTTCTGGTATACTTATTTAAATATCCATTTCTTACATTTTCATAATTCATGTACACATTTGATCCCAATCTGAAGTAATTTACTAAGTAAATCTTTAAATTATTTGTTTCAGTTTCTATAAAATTAAAATTGAATTGGACTTTATTTAGTGTACAAAATTGTGTTAGTTTGCTAGGGCTGTCTTAACAAAATACCACAGACCGGGTGTCTTAACAACAGAAATTTGTTTTTTCACAGTTCTAGAGGCTAGAAGTTCAAGATGAAGGTGTCAGCAGAGTTGGTTTCTTCTGAGTCCTCTCTCTGTGGCTTATGATGGCTGCCTTTTCACTGTGTCCCCACATGATCTTTTTCTCTGTGTGGCCACGCCTCTGGTGTCTCTTCTGAGAGTCCTAATCTCCTGTTATGAGATTAATCAGATTGAATAAAGACCCACTTAACAGCCTTATTTTAACTTAATAACCTCTTTACAAACTCTGTCTCCAAATACAGTCATTTTCTTGGGTACTGGGGTTTAGGGCTTCAACATATGAATTTGGGGTTAGGGAGAAGCATAAAATTCAGCCCATAATAACAGTGGTCACCAAATAAGGAGATCCATTCTGATTTAATTTTAGGCAGGTTTAGTTTACCCAGCAAGTGATTCGTGCCACACAGGCTTAGAATATTAAAGATACATAAATAAATAAAGATAAACTGAAATAAGACTGAAAGTCATTTTAATTAAACAAATAATCCCCTAGTATTATGCTTTCAAGACACTTGCATTATTTTCTTTCTCTTTGTTTACCACATTCTGGACAAAAGACAGACCCATTGGATAGATCCTTGAAATCGCTCAAATTCTTTTTGAATGCAATTTTTGAACATAATTTTTGTCATTGAGAAGCTATGGTGTTCTGGGCACTATGGATAGATCTTTTAAATACATTACTTAATTATCAAACCAGCTTTATGAGATAGGGAATATTATCCCCATTTTACTAATAAAAAACCTAAGGGTTAAAAATTTTAAATAATCTGCTCCAAATCACATGCTAGTAAATAATAGAGCCTAGATCCAAAAACAAGTCTGCTGGTAGCCAAGATCCCTGTTTTTACCAATAATGTAAAGTACATGAGGCTCCGGTGTCATCATTCAAATCTGGTGAAACTCAGTTCCATCAGATGAGATATTTCTATGACTGTGTAACAATATCAAGGTTATGGATGATATTACAAACATTCATTCGACATATATTTATTGATTAGCTAGGATGTGTTAAGCACTGTACTAGGCACTGAGGTTAAGATGATGAACAGGACACAACCTTTCAAGAGAAAATCTGGTTTGGAAGACAAACAATTCCAAGGCACAGCAATAAAACAGAGTAAGCCCTAGAGACTTTTATTCAATCAGTTGGCCTGCCTAAGGCATTATCTGATAAAAGTATAAGAAATCTTCTGGATTATAAAATACACTAACTACAACAGCAGTTCTTCCCATAGCACATGTGAATTTCATTTTAAAATAAAAAATAATTCAACAAATGGCAAGAAATCATGCTTGCATGTTCTAAATGCACAGTTATATCACATTCTATTCCAGTAAATTTCGACAAGCCTCAGCTGAATTGTTTCATTTAACTTTTACTATAACATTTTTACAAACCACACTTTCTGATCAATGATGCTTTGGCTATGGAGCTGAGTACATGGCAATACTTATCCTTCTGTACCTTGAAATCCAGCCCTCTATTTACCAAGCATAAAGGCAAATGCCAGTTAAACTACTTTTAGTTCCATCTTTCTGATGTTCAAGTGCAGGAACAATTATCTCCATCAATATTTAATGGCCTAATCCTATGCAGACAGTGCCACAAGTGTAGGCAATAGTCCCGTTAACATGCCGTTAATTTTCAAGCATACAGGCAGAAATGGACTATACAGTTACTGAGAATGCACAGCGGTACATTTCCCTAAGGTAAAATTCTTTCCACACCCTCTGGTCTACCTTCCTTGATAATAAGGGAATTAGAAACATTTCAGAGTTGTGTTCAGTGGGTTAAGCTTGTGCACTCTTTAAAATTCATGGAGAAAATGAAGCTTTCCCAGTTTTTCCAGTTTTTAAATAACAAGGTTTGTGACTCTCTAATTCAAGCTAAATATCTCATGATCCCACCTACCCACAGTTTTGTTTGGTTTGGTTTGGTCCTTTTCTGAGTTATTGCTTTAAATAGCCATTATTACAGAACACATGTCATTGTCCAGGTACTTGAAATCTAGATTGTGGATATCAATTAGAAATATTCCTATAAAATATGAGATATTGTTGCCAATGTAACAAAAGTCATAAGAAATTTTAATGAAATACACATAGTTTTTACAACTACAACATTAACAGGGAGAACTTCAGTAACCTAAATCATTTCATTAAGAAGGCCAGAGTGTGGACTGTGTGTGATTAGCTCTCTTTTCCTTCTGTTCTCTTGAAAAGACTGAAGGCTGGAGACAGATGAGGGGCTGGGGGGTGGGTGGGGGGTGGGTAGGGGCAGGAGGGGTACCACCATATAAAACCATCCTTTGAGAGAAAAGCAACTTAGAGCGAGTGTAGGCAGAGAAATCATGATCTTTGAATCTTGATTCAAAGAGCAAGAGTAACAGAAGAAACAAAAGATCCTTCTTAATCTGTTTATTCATAAGCTAAGTACGTTCCTGGGAGCTGTATTTGAGAATAAAGTCTGCATTATCTTCCTTATGATCTCAAGGTGACCTCAGAAATTATATAACCTCCTCTAAGTCTGATACAATTAAGTTGTAAACCTAATTCGTTAAAATTGTCTACTGAATAGAAAATTTCTGCAAATTTCCCACTTAAATATAATTTAATATTAATAAAACTGTTTTTAAGATACTTGCATTTTTTTCTTCCTTTGCTGTACTTCATAAGTCTTGAGATTTTCAGGAGTTAAATAAATATCAAATAACTAGTCAACATTAAAGATCAAAGCTTAAATACATTTTCCTAAATATCAAATTAGCCATTGTTGTCCAGTTGCAGAAAGAGCAATACAGTTTGAACAGTTTGGAAATATGGTTGACTTGGGTGAACACGGTAATAGACACTTTTTACAGATTTAAGGGAAAGGGACTTCATGTCTTTATACAATTTTCTGGTTCTTGTAAAGAAAAGTGCAGAATGTCATTGTAAGAATATTTCTTGCTCCTTTGCCAAATACAGTTCTTAAGTACTATGTTTATATAACCATCTGTCATGTTTACACAGCAGAACTCAAAGACAGAAATCTCTCATTTGTCAGAAGCATGGTCATGCCCATAAGCCTATCTATTATATAAATTATTTTGGAGTAGATTAGAATCTTTCACTATGTTCATTAAATTAAAAGTAGGGTTAGGCCTAATGCAAAATGGAAAAGCAGATGACTGTTTTTAAAACCCTGCCTCCTTCCTGCTGCTCTCCATTGGGACTGCTTATTGCCTGGTATTTTTCACCGTACACTTCATCTGGATGAGGTTCCTGCCCATGGCCTTTCCTTCATTCATTCGGCAAATATTTATGAACACTCACTCTGTGTAGCTAGGTATTGTTCAAGCCAGGTATGTGGGTGTGTCAATGAACCAAACAGAGATCCCTGGCCTCCAGAAGCTTACATTCTAAGATGAGAAACAGTAAATAACTATAATAAACAAGTAAATTGTATGAGATGTTAGAAGATAGTATGGCTATGAGGGAAAAAAATAAAGCATGGTAAAGAAGATGAGTTATGGGCAAGGGATGGGGAGTGGAGAAAGAGGATTGTGCTTTCAAACAGGATGGTCAAGATAGGCCTCACTGAGAAGGTGGCTTCTGAGTAAAGAAGTTAGCCATGCAGACGCCTGGAGGAGAGTTCCTATGAGGAAATGACCTATGCCCCAAGACCATAAGGACAGGGGATGCTTGGTGCGTTCCAGGAACCACAAGGAAGTCAGCATGGCTGAAAGGAAGTGAAGAAGAAGGAGAGGACTAGGAGAAGAGGGAAGAGGAGAAACAGCCTAAGGGAGGAGTGGGGATCCTGGGATCTTCCACTGGGAAGACTGGCTTTTAATTTGTCTTAAATCTTATTCCACAAATTTCCATGCTTTAAATCTCAGAGCTGACTAATCTGAATGATATATTTATGTATTCATTCATTTAATCCTGTATTCATTCATTCCACAAATATTTAGAAGGGCATAAGCATCATGATAGGCAGTAAGGAACAGATGTAATTCCTGTCCTCAAGGAGTTTACAATCTAGTGAGGAAGGCAGCCAGCAATCTGATAATTAAAGGAGGAGGGCTCTGAAGACATGGAAACGGAGGTGCATGGTGCTAGGGGAGTCTGGATTAGGAGAACTTGACTTAGTCATAAATTAGTTCAGGGAACACTGCCCTGAAAAGGCAGCAATTAAGTGAGAAATGAAAGATATATAGACACTAAGTAGGTAAACTAGAGAAAAGTACTTCAGGTGAAGGGCACAGCAAATATAAGTTTCCTGCAGCGGGTGGAAGCAGGGTGATTGCAGGAGATTGAAAGAAGGCAGAGTGGCTGGAGCTCACAGAGCCGGAGGAGAGCAGTAGGGATGAGGCTGGAGAAGTGAGCAGGGAGGTGGAATTGAATGTGCTGGGGCTCAGAGCCTGCATTAAGCAGTTTGTCTTTTTTCTAAGCCCACTGGGAAGCTGCTGAAAGATTTTAAGTCAGGTAGTGACCCGATCAGATTTAAGTTTTAAAGATCACTAATCCATATTGAATATGTATTAATGAGTTTATGTATCTATCCTCTAGATAATTTGTTTGCATTTTAAAGAAGGCATTCTAGAGATAATCCTGAACTCAAGAAGGTCCTGGTGGGAATTTTAAATATTGTAGCAAGCTGATGAGAGAAAACAAGTTGGGTAGGGAGATTATTGAGCAACCCATCAATTAAGTCGGGGAAAGAAGTCAGATTCTATGTGTTAAGCCTACAAAATATGGCTTCTGTTAATCTATTAAGATGTCACTGAAGAACAAAATATTGTTTTGGTGTGAATACTAAATCCTTTTCATTTCTTTGATAAGCACTTTGAGGCCTGGTCATGTTAAATGACTTTCCCAAGGTCACAGAGAAATTTTATAGCAGTTTTTCCAGTTTAAATTGCTTTTTTAAAAAAGCATAATGGGCAAATTAATTTAAGACTCAAACTGAAAGGTGTGGACATCTTAATAACTCCCAATTCTTTTGTTTTCACTTCTAAAACATTATGGAACACTTATGTCCATATAGCCTTAAAAATCCTGCTGTTCTCTGGGCACAGTTTATAAATCCCAGTCAATAGTCTTGTCTGCAATATCTTTCTCACAGTTGTGTATTGAGTTTTCTCAAATTAGTCCTCAGAGGGGAAGCTGTTTGGTATGTACCTTTCCTCTTTCCAGCCTTGAACGCAATCCCCTCCCACCATTACCACTGCCATACACATTTAGTTCAGTCAACAAGTATTTATTGAAAATCAACTATATACCAGTCTGATAAGGTCAGATGATACAAAAGTTTTCTCCAAAAATTCAGTAAGATGGAGGCAACTGGCAAATAAATGAATGATTGAAAACAATGTCACAGCTTCTCTTTAGAGCTGGACACAGCATCCTGTGGACCTAAGTCTACTTTGGAACAAGAAGTATTCATAGAAATGACCTAAATGACCAGTTCTGATAGACTTTGAAGAGTTTACCCACCAGACAGGGAGGAGAAATGTTTCAGGCTGGTAGAACTACACACGCCACTTCACATAGTGTAGACAACTATGGCATGGGGTATCTATAGGCAAGTAAGATGACTGGACTACAAAAGTAACTAGGACACAAATACTAGAGGAAACTTTATGCCATCCTAAGAATTTAGAGTTTTCTCCTTAAGGCAATAAGGAAAACCTAAAGGTTTTTTTAACTGGTGTAAAGTAAGATAAAATGTAATCAATAAGATTTGTCTCCTTGATACAATTTACAAATATTGTATTCCTGGCTTAGTTATCATATGCTTTATATATTTTGGGGAATATGGTCATTATGTTCATTGAGTTTGACAACTAGATTGCCATTCATCTTGAATTGTCATTGTCCTGAAATATGAAACGGCCATCGTTTTATTTCATACTGGCCCACACTAGATCACAAAATTATTCTTTATATAAGTAACTTGACATTAGGCCTCAAGGCAACATGATTTCTTCAGAATATCAAAAGGTACACATATAAACTGAAAGAACTGTGCCCAATTTCCTCTTGGGAAAGAATTTGCTACTATAAAAAGATGTCAATAAGACAAAAAGTGCATAGTCTGGAAAAAAAAACAGTCTCTTCAATAAACGGTGCCATGAAAACTGAATATTCATATGCAGAAGAGTGAAAATAGACCCCTATCTCTCACCATACAAACAAAAAATCAAATCGAAATAGATTAAAGACTTAACTCTAAGACCTCAAACCATGAAATTACTGCAAGAAAACATTGAGAAAACTCTCTAGGACATTGGTCTGGGCAAAAATTTATTGAGCAATACCCCACAAGCGCAGGCAGCCAAAGCAAAAATGGACAAATGGGATCACATCAAGAAAAAGCTTCTGCACAGCAAAGGAAACAATCAACAAAGTGAAGAGACAACCCACGGAATGGGAGAAAATATTTGCAAACTACCCATCTGACAAGGAATTAATAACCAGAATATATAAGGAGCTCAAATAACTCTATAGGAAAAAAAAGCTAATAATCTGATTAAAAATGGGCAAAAGATATGAATAGACATTTTTCAAAATAAGACATACAAATGACAAACACACATATGAAAAGGCACTCAACATCATTGATCATCTGAGAAATGCAAATCAAAACTGTAATGAGATATAGTACCACCTCAGTTAAAATGGTTTATATCTAAAAGACAGGCAACAAAAAATGCTGGCAAGGATGTAGAGAAAAAAGAACCCTCACACACTGTTGATGGAAATGTAAATTAGTTCAACTGTTATGGAGAACATTTTGGAGGTTTCTTAAAAAACTAAAAATAGAACTACCATACGATCCAGCAATTCCACTGATAGGTATGTACCCCAAAGAAAGGAAAGCAGTATAATAAAGAGTTAACTGCATTCCCAAGTTCGTAGCAGCACTGTTCACAATAGCTAAGATTTGGAGGCAACCTAAGTGCTCATAAACAGATGAATGGATAAAGAAAATGTGGTATGTTTACACAATGGAATTCTACTCAGCCATAAAAAAGAATGAGATCCTGTCATTTGCAACAACATGGATGGAACTGGAGATCATTAGGTTAAATGAAATAAGCCAGGCACAGAAAGATGAACATAGCATGTTATTATTTATTTGTGGGATCTAAAAATCAAAACGATAGAATTCATGGACACAGAGAGTAAGATAGTTACCAGAGGCTGGGAAGGATAATGGGGAGGTGAGCAGAAGGTGGGGATGATTAATGGATAGAAAAAAAGTAATTAGAAAGAATGAATAAGACCTACTATTTGATAGCACAACAGGGAAAATATAGTCAATAATAACTTAATTTTGCATTAAAAAATAATTGAAAAAGTATAATCAGACTGTTTGCAACACAAAGGATAAATGCTTGAGGGCATGGATACCCCATTCTTCATGATGTGATTATTTCACATTGAATTCCTGTATCAAAACATCTCATGTACCCTATAAATATATACACCTACTATATAACCACAAAAATTAAAAATTAAAAATTTTTTTAAAAAGACAAAAAATTTATGATGTATTTAGGGCATATTGGCAAAGAGGGCATATGGTTAGACTCTCCCAAAAAAGTGATGAGATTTAAGTGTTTTGTTTTTTTTTAAGGAATGCCATGATTAGCAATAAACCATAAACAAAATGGCATTGGATAGGCAGACCTCCCAACTCATTAGAACCAGAATGACCTGAGTCAGTAAATTTCTGCCTAGAAAAGATTTGGCAGAGTTGGAGAAAGCTCATCTTTGAGATAGGTAAGGATAGTTACAAAATTTCAAATGTAATAGGTAAAATAGCAGTGATGTATACTGAAGCATTCAACGATTAGGGTTTTGCTATTGTACTATAACATACCTGTTCTGATTTTCCCATTATCTCTTTGGTAATTCCAAGAGATTTGGAATTATTTAGTCTAGAGCAATGCTGCTTCTAATAATGTGAGTGAAATACTATGCTGAATTCTCCCAGGCATGCCAACAAACAAATATAC
Source organism: Homo sapiens (assembly GCF_000001405.40). Lineage (NCBI taxonomy): Eukaryota > Metazoa > Chordata > Mammalia > Primates > Hominidae > Homo > Homo sapiens. The sequence continues at coordinate 93,027,996 of NC_000005.10, forward strand.
ACACATTTACGGCAGTAAATGACATTCATGACTTAGTTAATGTCAAATATTATCGAGAGAGGTTTTCTTTTCTGTCCAATGTAACCGAAACATGAGGAAAAGCACTTAATGTGTAAAATATATTATATTTTATTGTTGTGTTTTTCCAGGACTAAACTTGTAAATTAAATTTTTTTAAATAGAAGTGACTGAATAGGGAATTTTTCTTAACTTTGATTGAATATGTTTCACTTATATGTGTATAACGTTATGCTCTTATTTAAACCTTTTGACATTAAAATGCTATTGAAAAGTGATATTTTATTTCCACACACATATTATGATTACAATGAGATGTTACAGATGCCACAAAACTAATTTCATCTTTATGAGTTAATGCTCACACCTTGCATCTTCTGCCTTCACATTGTTTTATGCTTATAATTATTAAAAGTAATCCTTATAAATACATTATTTGGGAAGTAAGCTAATATATAAAATTTATATTACATGATAAATAATAAACACATATTTTTAGACAGTATGTTTTGGAGTATACGTTCTGGAATGACCAAGATAAAAAAAAATCTTTTTGTAGATTACATGGAGTTGACACACCTCAAATTAACTTTACTCTACTGTGTTTTGTTGTGATGCCATCTGCCTATATCGAGGGACCCAAAAAGAAACATTTCAATGAAACTTATTCACACAGGACCTTATCCTTTGCATCATGCATTGTGTTTCGTTGCAAAGTTATATCTGTTATCAACATAAATAGTAGTCGAACTTCCTCACTGCATCCAATGTTTTCTTCTCCATTATGTGTCTTGTAAATTGCGTAACTCAACAAATTCCCTTTTACCCATTAGAAAACCTAGTGCCAGATTTAAAACCTACATCTTTAGTCATTTTTTTTAATTTGATATGCAATTTAATGTGTCTTAACACATATATCAATTTGCGTGACCACCATCACAATCAGGATACAAGAGTTTTGTCATTACCAAAAGCCTCTTCATTCTATCCTTTCTAGTTATACTCTTTCTCCACTGCAACTCCAGCAACCTCTGCTATTCTCCATCACTGTAGTTTGTTTTTTTCAAGAATGTCAAAAAAATTGATGCATACAGTAGGAATCCTTTAAGGACTGACCTCTTTTACTCAGCATGTCATTTTTTTAGATTCATCCAAATTATTGCATGTATTGGTAGCCTATTCCCTTTTAGTGTTCCATGGTATGAGTGCATTACAATTTGTTTATCTATTCACCCATTGGAAGGCATTGGATTATTTTTAGTTTGGGGCAGTAAGGAATAGAACTGCTATAAACATTCATACACGGGCATTGTGTCAAAATAAAATTTCATTTGCATAGAGTAAGCATCAGGAGTGGTATTCCTAACTCAAATGGTAGGTATATGTTTAATTTTATAAGAAATTGCCAAACTGTTTTCCAGAGTGGATATACCATTTGCATTCTTACCAGCAATGTGCAAGAATCCCATTTGCTCCACATTCCGGCCAGCACTCAGTATTGTCAGTATTTTAATTTAAGTCATCCTAATAGGTATGCAGTAGCATCTCACTGAGGTCTTAATTTAAATTTCCCCAAAACTTTTAACTTAAATTTCCCTAAAGGTTGTTGTACATCTTTTCATGTATTCATTTTCTTTAGTCATTTTTATTCTATTTGATATTCAATTTTGTTATTCCTTTTTTGTGGCAACTTTTAAATTTATGATATGCTGCTTTTCTTTTTGCTATTGAGGAAACTTAAAACATTTCTGGAATAAGTGTGGGTATAAAAACATAGGTTAAACTCAAAAAAGTCACAAAAAGTAGCATTTCAACAAATTTCCATTTTAATTTTTTTTTATTATTTTAGCCTTTTCCCTGGATGTATTCTGGTGGTTTAAGAAATGTACAAAACATTGTGTTTTTGTCTTCTTATTTATAGGTCTGATATTTTCTAAGCTCTGGAATGGAATCTAGAAAAAAAACACTAAATCACTAAAAGGAGACAAGATAATACTTTCAACAAAGAACCCAATGGAATTGTTCATTTGAAATGTTATTACATTGTCTTTGTGTGTATTTGGCTCTGCCAATTGCATTCTGCAATTCCTGTTCACTGCCAGCTCTGGAGAGAAATAGAGCCAAATAACTGTGGGTTTTTTTATCTAGTTGTCACCAAAAAGTTTGACAAAAGTCCCTTAAGCATTAGAACTATAAAAAACATTTACAACAGGGCTAGAAAAAGCATGAAGTTTAACTGACTTGATTCTGCATTAAACCCATGATTTAGACTACATTCATTAAAAGCACAAATCTTGTTGCAAACATGGAATTATTTTAAATGAATTCATTCATGTTCTGAATAGTTGCCATAAAATTTTTGGTAAAATATTATAGTTTCAATTAATTTTTTCATTTGCAACCATGCATGGAAAAGACAAAGCTAAAGGCAATACTCAAATACTCTATCACATAAACCAAAAGAACCGCTGTTGTCTTTCACCTTAGAAGGTTATGGTGCATGCTCTACCAGCTTATGACTAGAGATCATTGTGCTTTGTGCACTTTGAATGAAATGCTTGCTTGCCTGCCTACATCTATGAATCTGAGCCTCTAAAATCCAGAGGAATTAGTAAAGGCTTCAGATAGGTCTCCATGCATTGTTTTAAGCTTCTCCCAGGGATTAGGACTATCTGGTCCTGGAGGAGTGAGTGATGTGCTGACCCTGTTGGCTTCCCTCTCTCCAAAATAGTTAGAGAAGGTTCATGTTGAGGCCAGCATGTGGCTTAGCAAAATATCAAAAGCCACAAGAAGACCTTCCATCTCCTTCATCTGTTTGCTGAGGCCCAGACTTTTTTAGGAAAGAAGAAAGAGAGCTAAGGAAAGTGGAAAGGAGGGAAGGAGAGAAGAAAGGAAAGAAGGAAGGAAGGAAGTACAGAACAGAAAGAAGGAAGAAAAGAAAAAAAAGGGAGGAGTAGTTTCTGGAACAAAATAAAGTCTCAATAGCTGTGTGAAATGAATGAATACACAAATGTAAATTACTTAGAAAAAGGTATCATATGGCCAGGCACAGTGGCTCACGCCTGTAATCCCAGCACTTTGGGAGCCCTAGGCGGGCGGATCACGAGGTCAGGAGATCGAGACCATCCTGGCTAACACGGTGAAACCCCGTCTCTACTAAAAATACAAAACATTAGCCGGGCGTGGTGGTGGGCACCTGTAGTCCCAGCTACTCCGGAGGCTGAGGCAGGAGAATGGTGTGAACCCAGGAGGCGGAGCTTGCAGTGAGCGGAGATCGCGCCACTGCACTCCAGCCTGGGTGAGCGAGACTCCCTCTCAAAAAAAAGAAAAAAAGAAAAGAAAAAGGTATCATAGTAGTGTGAATGGATTTAGTCAATATATAAATAATGAATACTACATTATTTCTTGTAGATAAAGTATAAATGGAAGAGACATAAATGGATGGGGAAAAGACTGCTCCTGAATATAAGAAAAGAGTACTGGAAGAGGACACTAAAAATGTCAAGTAGTTTTCTACTACATAATTTTGCCTAGAGTTGCCCCAGTTTAATCAATTACATTAATTAGTTGATATGGTATAGTATGTTCATGAGCACAGGATCTCAACACCATTACCAACTGTCCTTGAGTTTTACTGTCTCTGCACCTCAGTTTCCTCATCTGTTCAATGGAGATAATAGTATTATTATGAGGTTTAAAAGAGTGAATTTAGATAAAAACACTTAGTGGAATACTCACAGTGAAGCCTTACTATTAATATATTGGTTCTTATTATTCACTGAAACAAAATGATGAAAGGTATATCAACATATTATCTGAGTTGCATAAAGAAAGAATGAAGTTATCCTCTTTGTGATTATAGGCCTTCAAAATGTTGAACTGAATATGTTAATAGAAATATTTCCGTTGTAATTATTTAGTTGGTTTTCCAGGAAAATTAGCCTCCTATTAGTTTAAACACTTTTTTCTTTGTTAGACAAAGGCTCCCTGAGATAAGTTAAATGCGAGATGCTAGAACAGCAGAGCTGAGAAATACACAGAGGAGAAAATTATTCCTAAGGCATCCATAGAGGCAATCCTCCCAGCCCTTGTTGGTGACCTGCAGCTGTTGAATAAAGCCAATTGCCGAGCATAGGAGTGAGCAGCTTGCTGTGTCTCGGGTCTGGAACACAATCGCCAATTATTTATTGTCAGCGGTGCCTCATGGCAGACTAAGATGACAACCATTTTCTCTCGGTAAGGTTATCTTGCTCTCTTGAAAAAACAAAAATTCTATGTTGTTTGAGGTAGCATTTGGCCACAATACCTAAAATTGACATGCTTGAAATTGCAAAAATTGTTGATGATAATAAGAAATCAAGATCATATTTTTCTATTTTAATTTTTAACCCAAAGAGAGAAAACCCCCAGGTAAAGGAATGGAAAGCATTCATTTTCTCAAAGACTCACCAATATACATTTTGAGCAAAAGTAATAAGGAAATCCCACAGACTGAATTGGCATGAATTAAAGGAATAACACAAAAAGTTGAGTAGGTTTAGTCCATGTAGAACAAGGATGATTGAACTGCCCGAAGAGGGCTGTACTATATACCACACTAAATTAATAAGTAATAATTTATTACTTACTACCAAGTTTTCAATATTAATCTGCTGATTTTTTAACAAAGTCATCCATGAATCAATCAACAGTTAGTACCAAGGGCAAAAGATAAAATTACTCATTGATTGATGCAAGAGCTTTCAAAAATGCCGATTGATCAATAGTGATTTTTGGTATGGCAAACTTACATTTCTTTAGAGATTTGCTTAATCACAGACTTTCTCTGGAATCATTCTCATAATGCAACATCTCTTTGGATTTTCAGTAACCTCAATAATGGTTGTCCTGTGCTCCTATCTACTTTTAATTTCTTCTAGTAATAGAAAATACTTCATAATGGAAGATTTAATTAACTGAGTTTCCAAAAAGCTATTTACAGTGAACTGGGAACATTAGCTTTAATTTTTATTGTTCAAGAATGAAGATAGCCTTTTTACAACAGATTAAATGCAGCAGGAAAACAACATTTTAGCCACACTAAAGTGTGGGAACCCACTGATAAAAGACAATTGTGCTGCTGAGAAGACAAAGGTTATGACAGTCCGATCAGAGGGGAGAGTCCCTGCTTGAATCTTCTCGTCCCTTTCTTAATTTATCTTGAGCGATCCTTAACAGGCTTCACTCATATCCCTAACCTAGATGACAGGTAGGCTTTCCACCACCATGAGCAAAGAATTATAGTAAAAAGATGCAAGATGGTGGGTCTTTTCCATCCCTCCACCCCTCCATCCCCCCAGAATAGAATATTGCATAGTTTTCAAAGAACATACAAGAAGTTTTTAAGGCACATTAGAGATGTGCCTTTTACTGCTAGGCCCTGTGTCCAAGAAAATACATCACTGGGCAGTGTTAAGAGGGGGAAAGAAAATATCATTGTGACCTTGACAAAACAGAGAGGTCTTGAGGTTAATCAGGTAAATTATATTTGTGCAGAACATTTTTTCCACACATTTGTTAATTTATAACCTTTAAGCTTGTCCTGTCATAAGCTTCTTATACAAATTGATTCAAATCCAACCAAGTTTGATTGGTTATTATTTACCCAACAAACTGATATAGTGTCTAGTGAGTCATCCAACCCAGCATGCAAACACATATTTGGGGCATGCATATTTCCTTTTTAAATTGTGTCTTTAAAACCTTTATGGAAATTTGCTGCTGAATGTTACACACTAGCCATATTTCAAAGTGAATATCTTTCACAGTTTTACCTTTTTCTCTCATTTACCAAATGAAATTAGACCACATTATAGACTAATACCTTGTGAATTGCATTTATTAGATCAGAGCCAATTTGAGTTATGGAGGCACATGCACCCAGAAGCACTAAATGCCCTGTAAAAACGCAGAGAGGTGGCTTAAAGGTTTATAGCGCCAAGTAGCTTTTCATTCGTAAAAGACCTGGGTTCAATTTTTTGCTTTCAGCCTGAGTAAAACTGACATTCATGGCTATACCACGACTTATATCACAAAAACCAGATCGTCATTGTTGGTTTGCTATAAATGGGGAAGCTAAACAAAGAATGGAAACCACATCTTGCAAATTGCTATAAAAGTGGAAATCATGATCTGTTTCTGACTCCAGTAGGAACAGACTAGGAAAAGAAACTTATTTTTAAGGGTCCTAAAATTTATTCTCAATAAAAACAGAAAAATTTTTATCTCTATTATGCCAAAAAAAGCTTGATAATGTATCAATTATAATAGTTCACTAGAACCAAGTTTTAAAGACAAACCTGAATCTTGAAATTTTTCATTTGGAATAGTTTAAGTATTATAGTATAAATATTAAGTGTGTATAGTAAGTATTTTATTATTAATGTTTGGACCTCTGAAGCAACTGATTTAAGAGTTAACTTTTGAAGGAGCTTACTGCTCCCCCAAATAATTCATTACCAATAGTTATTCTGCCTTTGCAATTAATCAGGTTTGAAAGTGCTTCATTTGGTGCATTTGTATTGTTTAAATAAATCTGGAAACACTAACCCTGTCACATTCAGGGGTCGAGTGTGGGAATGAATCTGTAGACACAGAAGGTAAAATACTTCAAGGCGTATCCCCAAGAGATTTCAGCTGGACAATCAAAATTTATTTTTCAAGAAGAGGGTGTCCCTGTGCAAGTGAGCCCTGTGGTGTGTTTTAAGGTCTCCTTAACCTGTCTCGGCAAATTGCATAAATCACAGCAATAAAGTCTTCCTATTCAGCATGTTAGGGCTAGGGAAAGCTGACCAGCTTTTGACCTCTTATTCTGGGCCCCAACTGACCCTAACTTAGAAGTTCAAGCGGTCAATTTCAGGTCACTGAGGGCAGTCTCAGAATCTTTTTAATTCCACTTGGACTGCAAGGTTAAATTTATGCAGCACAGGTATTTTCCTAGGTTTCCTGGATGTGTTGCTCCTGGAGTTCACACCCAGATGACCAACAGAGAAAAAAAGAAAAAAGAAGAGAGAAAGAAAACGCCAAATTTAAGCTGGTATCCTCCTAACTGGCTCCACTTTAGTAAACACCATGTTGGTCGTTTATCAGTATAATGGATCTACAGACAGCCTTAAACAATTGTCAAACATTCTTTTAAAAGCCATTAGTTTTTCAACTAATATATATCTGTTTCGTGCATTTGTTGAACCCTTCACTTGTCACTGAGAACGACCTGTTAAACTAAGCAGAGGCCTGATCAGTTTTCAGTGAGCGCTGAGCCTCAGGGTTCACCTGGGTCATCCACAAGATTTATGAGACCCAGTGCCAGTATCTGATTGGGACTGTTAGTGCTAAAGAAAGCTGACACTTCCTCCCTTTCCCTCCTCCTCAAGCCTGACACACAAAGTCCAGTGACTTAACTTGTACATTCCCACTGGCTGCCTAAGAGGCAGCAAAATTGATGACCTGTACAGACACCAAAGTGGACATCAATAAAAAAAGACGGATGTGAACAAGTGGAGTGACATGCCTCATTGCTGAGGGGACTGGGGAGGGGAGAAAAAAGGTTAAAAAAACACTGGAAAGTTATTTATATAAGCTTCAAGGACAAGGATTTTGTCACTAGTTGCCTAAGGATTTGCTCTTAAAATATTCTTTCCCCTGGCTTCTCTCCTTTTCCAGTTGGCAAAAATGTTGGGATCTCTGGTAATTACTAGATATTTTAATTTGTTTCCTTAAATGCAGAAATTTTTATTAACCTTCTTGTCACTAACAAATGATACCAAGAGATGGACTGAAAATTGTTAAAAACATATAAAAGAAAAATGTAGGGCAGCTTTTAAAAAGGAACCACAATTGATTTAACATCATTACTGTGCTTGTTAATAATAAGGATGGTTAAAATTGTGAGCAGATTTCATTTTCTATAAGATGGTAGTTATAAATGCTCTGAAACAACATGCTCATTTTGAAAGATCTCCCAAAGAACTGCCCAGAAACACTAGGAATTATACTCTTGAAATTGAAATCTGTGAATAGTTTACAAATAGGCAATGAGTGAAAGTAACTGGGTTAGCTATTGTATACTGGGTGTGTTTCTATTTTAAAGTACTTCTGAGAAAAAATTATTTGGTGGCTTAGCTAGCACTCTAATTAGATCCAAAAGAGACAAGTAAAATGAAAAAAAGAATAATTTGGGGGGGTTCTTCTATTTTACTCTTGATGTTTTCATTTGACCTTTGGTATTTTTTCTGCACGGTATATTTTCTGCATGCTTATGTATTATGTAAACGAGGCCTAAATCTGAAATGTGACCAGCATAGTTGGGAGAGATGATGTATTCAACCACATCAGAAAAAAATGGCAGACTCTCCAGATCACCAGGTTTACAACAAATTCTTCCATACTAACACTTCCTTGATGTTGATGTTCAGTTAACATGATCTGATGGTTTATTATCATGCAGCAGAAGAAAATTGCAATAAATAAGAAATTTATTTTTAGTGATGTTAAGTTTTTCAGATAATAGCATCTATTATGATGACAGAAACCCTTATTGGGTTCATGAGCCAGACAGTAACAATGCTGTCACATTTTCCATTTTGTCTATGAAGACTGAGCTTGATGTCTTCAGGAACTGGAGTTTGAAGTTCTCCACCATTTTGCCAATGTTAAGATAGGTCAGTTTCAAAGTCCACAGTCTAATGTCTCTCATTGTTCCTGATGATTGCAATAGAGATGTCAGTACAATAGGGTCTGTACTAACATCACAACAGAATTTATGACCAAGTGGAAAGATACAGTTCTTACCTCTGGTGACTTTGTTTTCCAGGTCAGCATACCCATCCCATTCAGAATCAAAAACCCTATGTGAAGGTGTCTATGAAATTCACACTTTCCTCTGCCCAGGCCCTGATCCAATCTATTTACCTATGTGCTGCTATATCCAACACACATACAGTAAGTCTTGAGCATGAAGCTTTACTGATAAGGATAGAGTAATATCAGTCAAGTTTGGTTAGTTAGAACTTCCATTCTAAAATATCATATAGTACTCAATAAAATAATCTGTCAGAACAGGCCTCATCCAACCCTGTTAACTTTGATACCAGCTCAGTTTTTTAAATGTCACTAAACCAATCTCTCTCAGTTCCCCATGTAAGACTTCATATCTTTGCCCTTGGGATTCTCAGACTTCTGACACCGGTGGCATTTCTCCAGGCTCAGTAAGCTACCCCTTATTGCAAAAAAGTGAGTACAGTCCCCATGGAAACTTCACTGAGATCTGCAGGATTTACATAGGTAGTCTCAATCTCATCTTAAGACCTAAAGTAACTGCCAGCAGGAAAATGATGTGAGTTTATGAAATCCCTGATCCAACAGCATCTTAAGAAGGATTTTAAAAGATTGAGTGTGATTTACTTATTTTTTATCTCCTTTTACATCATAAGAGATTTTATTATTGCTATTATAGTAATAAACTGCTATTTTCCTCCTTTTCTTCTTTATGATGAAGACTTGACAAAGTTGTAAGGCTTACCTAGCACAGTGCTTGCATCAAGTAGGTATTTAATACATTTTAATTGACTTACCTTTGATTGCCCTTCTTTGAAGCTGAGTCAGCCATCAACCCCTTGGAGTACAGACTTTCAGGGGATCCTTGACAAAATACATGGCTCAGTGTTTTGACTGCAGTTTGGGTGTTTAATAAAGAAGGCCCAGGTAACAACCCTCGCTTTCTCCAGAATGTCTAAAAAACTCTCTTCAATAATCTTCTCAGATCCCAATACCTGTCCATTTTCATTTAGACACACAAGTATCATCACAGACCTTGTCAAAGGGTGGTTAGAAATCATGGTTACATGTTCCAGATCTGTCACTATTCATAAGGTCATTCCAAGGGATTGACTGGGTATCCACCAATGACATTCCAAGAGGCTCAGTGTCATCTGGCTGGGAGAAGGTTTGAGGTCCTAGATGCCTATGGTAACTCTAGCTCTTCAAGGGTTCACTCTGGATCCCCTATCTGCCTGGACTTATCTGAGCTTCTCTTCCCATCAAATTGACAACATGGATTTCCCATTAGCATCAGGCAGCTAATGGGAGCTTCTTCAAACTGCTCAGGATTGGAGTCTAGATTGCTCTCTTCTGAATGTCAGACACACACCTTCTCTGGGACTCCTTGAGTGAAAGAGTCCCAAGAAGATATCATTCAGATTTACCTAAGAGACACTGAAGAATTCTTAGATGCTTAACTCATGGTCTGTAATATGTAATAAGATTTTCAGATCCGTGGAACTAAAATGACTGGGTCCTGCCAGCCAGATAAGCCTACAAGTTTGTCATATCAGGCTCTGGATTTAAACTGATGTCAGGTAGCTCTAGGGGCTGAACTTGACCTTTCCTGGGCTGAAAATAGATATGGAAGGAAAGTTCCTTCTTCTAGCCTGGTGGGGCCCTAGGATAACAAGCCAGGGTTTCTCCAGTTTGAGGCAAATTGTTGGTTCTGTCTCACATGATCTAGAAGAAACAGATTAGCAAACTCTCCTTGGTGTCTCTTAATGCAACATAAAAGTCTCCCAGAGTTTGGAATTCATATTGTTATTCTTAAAAATAATGAATTTTACCAAAGAATAAATATGCCTGGGATACATAACAAACAGGTTTAAAACAACTTTACAGATAAACACGAAATGTTTGCCAACTCTTAAATTGTTTTTACTAGTAGTTCTCTCTCTAGGAAGGAGATAGTAAAATAAATTAAATTAATTTCCCTTTGTCTTTTGTTGATGGTTAATGTTATTTTTCAGTTTAAGAACTCAAATACAATGACGATAATGTGTAAAACCTAAAAAAGAAAAGAAAGAAAGAAAAAAAAAGGTAGCAAGAACTAGAGAACCAAAAAATACTTGTAGTTTAGTGGAGTTGCAACTAAGTGAATTCTCTTGAATTCATTATTCAGTGTAGATACCTCAATTGAAAGATTGAGTTGTACAGTTAATACAGTCATGTGTCACACAACAACATTTTGATCAATGACAGGCCACATATACTATGCTGGTCCCATAAGATTATAATGGAGGTGAACATTTTATATTTCCTAATGCCATTGTCGCCATCATAATGATGTAGCACAATGCATTACTCACATGTTTGTGGTGATAATGGTGGAAACAAACCTGCTGCACTGCTAGTCATATAAAAGTATAACATATACAATTATATATAGTGCATAATCCTTGATAATGATAATAAAGGCCTGTATTGCTGTTTTATATATTTACCATGCTATACTTTTTAATCATTATTTTAGAGTATACTCCTTCTATTTATTTTTTTTAAATAAGTTAACTGTAAAAAAGCCTCAGGCAGGTCTTTCAGGCGGTATTGCAGAAGAAGGCATCATTATCATAGGAGATGACAGCTCCATGCGTGTTATTGCCCCTGAAGACCTTCCAGTGAAACAAGATGCAGAGGTAGAAGACAGTGACATTGATGATTCTGACCCTGTGTAGGTCTAGGCTAATACATGTGTTTGTGTCTTAGTTTTTAACAAAAATGTTTAAAAAGTTAAAATTTATTAATTTCTAAAAATAGAAAAAGCTTATAGAATAAGAATATAAAGAAAAAATATTTTTGTATAGCTGTACAATGTGTTCATATTTTAAGGTGGTATTTAAAAAGAATCAAAAAGAAAACAATTAAAAACTTTATAAAGTAAAAAGAAATTAAAGCGAGGTTAATTTATTATTAAAGAAAGAAAAAATTTCTTTATAAATTTAGTGTAGCCTAAGTGTACAGTATTTGTAAAGTCTACAGTTGTGTACAGTAAAGTCCTAGGCCTTCACATTCACTCACCACTCACTCACTGACTCACCCAGAGCAACTTCCAGTCCTGCAAGCTCCATTCACAGTAAGTACCCTATACAGGTGCACTATTTTTTATCTTTTATGCTGTGTTTTTACCATACATTTTCTATGTTTACACACACAAATACTCACCATTGTGTTACAATGACCTACAGTATTCAATACAGTAACCTGTTGTACTGGTTTGTAGCCTAGAAGCAATAGGCTATGCAGTATAGCCTAGGTGTGTAGTAGGCTATAACATCTAGCTTTGTGTAAGTACACTCTATGATGTTTGCACAATGATAAGTCACCTAATAATGCATTTCTCAGAATATATCCCCAACATAAGCAATGCATGAATGTATCTCAACCTAAATCTCCATTTTACATATAAACATATAGTCACATGCTTCATATTTTCCTTTCTTTAGATCATAAAATGACTAAATGCTAATAACAACACAATTTGAGATATTCTAGCTTGGTGTCTCCCCATAAGATTAAAGTGTTTCAGGAATATTAATGATTTATTATATAAACTTCACTCTCCAAAAGGTCTTCCTGAATTAAAACAGCAAAAGAATTAATAATCTGTCGAACCATGCTTTATTCAGAAAATACGGTTTTGTCCGTTTTTAGCCATTGACAAATAGAGTATTATCAGGATAGATCAGCAGAGATGTTGAATGTTTTTGAAACTTTCTGTTTTAAATATTTGTTTACATTTTACCAAGAAAATTTACACTTTTCAATTTCTAGTGATTATGCATTCCTGCCATATAAGAACACTTCACAGGGACTGCGGAAATAGTCGTTAACAGCAACGGACTATTTTTGTGCTCCCACAGCAAGAAAGTCTTTTGCCACAATGATCAAAATCTTTTATTTCCACTCAAAACATGTCTCAATAAAACAAGCATTTGCTTTTGAAATTCCTTCTTAACCTATTTGAATTCTACCAGGTAAAATATTTATTTGAGAAAAATACTATTTCATAAGAAAAATATGTTCCAAACTAGATGCAATTGAAGATATTATGTCCACTTTTTTTTTTTTTTTTTTTTTTTTTTGAGATGGAATCCCGCTCTGTCGCCCAGGCTGGAGTGCAGTGGCACCATCTGGGCTCACTGCAAGCTCCGCCTCCTGGGTTCACGCCATTCTCCTGTCTCAGCCTCCCGAGTAGCTGGGACTACAGGCGCCCGCCACTACGCCCGGCTAAGTTTTTGTATTTTTAGTAGAGACGGTGTTTCACCATGTTAGCCAGGATGGTCTCGATCTCCTCACCTCGTGATCCGCCCGCCTCGGCCTCCCAAAGTGCTGGGATTACAGGCGTGAGCCACCGTGCTGGCCTATCTCTACTTTTTAAATGAAAATAGAATTTGTTACTTTAAAATATAAACTATTATTACTTATTGTTACTATTATTACTACTCTAGAAAGGAGAAAGACGAGGAAGAAGAAGAAGAAAGAAAAGAGAAAGTGAAAACTAAAAATAGAACTACAAGTCAATCCAGCAATCCCCACTACTGGGCATATATCCAAAGAAAAAGAAATCATTATATTAAAAAGGCATCTTCACCCATATATTTATCACAGTGCTGTTCACAGTAGCAAACTCACTGAATCAACCTAAGCATTCATCAATGAATGACTGGATAAAGAAAATGAGGTTTATATATAACGTGGGATACTACTCAGTCATAAAAAAGAATGAAATCATGTCTTTTGCAGCAACATGGATGGAACCAGAAACCATTATTCTAACTGAAAAATCTCAAAAAAGAAAGTCAAGTAACACATGTTCTCACAAGTAAAAGCTAAACAATGTGTACACATGGACATACAGAGTAGCATAATAGACATTGGAAACTCCAAAAAGTGGGACAGCGGGTGAGGGTTGAACACTATTCAGTGAAAAGATGACACTCATGTGGTTAATTTAATTAAATGACTACCTATACTGACCCAGTAAAGAGATGTATATATTATTAATAGAACAATGGAGTGCCCCGCTCTGTTCACATAATCTGTGCTACTATCTTCATAATTCATGTGGACTATCCTAGCTAAATTTAATGTTCAGCCATTCACAATCATTAAGACCTCTAGTGGTTATAACAGCCTTCTCTGCCATGCTGGCATCCAATTTGTATTTTCCCCCCAGACATAGTCAACATTCAAAGACACAGAAATTTCTTGTTTTAAAAAAATTACTTTATTCTACTTATTCTATTCTGCGGTAATAAAAAAAATTCTATGTTGCAAAATGTGGGTAATATTTTGCATTGTCTATTCCCAGGATAACTCTTTAAACTATGTTGTGGCTCCCGATTGTGCTGATACTCATTCCACAAACAAAACTTACACCTCAATAAACAGCAAGTCTGCATATTAGATGAGAAAAAGGATATGCGATAAAAAAAAAAACACAGTTTCTAAAAAAATTTTTAAAGCCCGCAGTGCAAATTGGAGAATGGAATTTTGCCCCCTATTCCAGAGGGTTACTCGTGTCACCAAGTTGTTTCTTATTTCCATGAATTGTTTTTTCAATTAAAATGGGGAAATAAAAGCAAAGAGTAAAGCAGAACTTGCTGCAGAAGATAGATGGCTCTTCTTTAATGACTTATAAAAGAAAAGCGGCACCCCAAGTTTTACTTTATGTAACATGGGGGAAAAAAAGCTAAGCAATACTATAGATTTTATTTGATATGCTCACTGTGCTAATTTTTGAAGTAGTATCATTTTACTATTACAATTATTGACACATTTCTAAGGAGCATGTCTATTAATTTTGAAAAGACTAAGTAAATGCAAATCCAGGTTCTTTTCTACTTTTTAAGTTGTTATTAAGAACAAATGTTCTTCAAGTGAACCCTCTGGTCAGTAAAAGGGGACATTTGCAACTAAAAGGACTAGTGTACAGTAAATAATGGCATTTTCTTCAGCCAAAGACATTTTCCATTCAAGATAACCTGAAATCTGCTACTTTATAGCAGGTATTCTATGAAATATTTCTCCCGAAAATTTAACTAAGTATATGTATCTTGGTGAAATTACAGGTGAATAACACCTGTTATGCTGTCATCAAAAAAAAAAAAAAAAACCCTGAAAGTCTAAGATTAACCATAATCAATATTCTGGTGAAGATTCTTTCAGATATCGATACATAGATAGATACAGATACACATACTAATATATTTTGTATGTTATATATACATTTATATTTGAAAAAATACAGATGTTCATATAATTATTTTTAATAAATAGGTTCATATTCTGTAGCTATTTTTAAACTCAATAATATGTCAAGGACATAATTTCATGCCAATAAATATAGATCTGTGTCTTCATTTTGAATAACTGTGTAGTAGTCCACTGAGTATATACCAATAACTTTACTTCATCATCTTCTCATTAATGAATTTTTAAGTTGTTTCAAATTTTTTGGTATTATTAACAATGTTGTGAAGAATATCCTTTATTTTACATCCTTTCATACCACTTTTTAGTGTATTTTCCTAAAACAAGAGAAATATATGGATTTTAAACATTTTGTCACACATTATCAAACTTACCTGCACAGAGGAAAACCTATTTACATTTCTTCCAATTTTCACTAGTTTTCTCATGCCTTAAAATATAGCAGATTGTGTCGATTTTCCCAATCAAATAAGTTAAAGGAAAAAAAAAAGATATCCTGTTGCTGTTTTTATTTCTACATCTTTGAGGCCATAGAGTCATTTCCATCGCTTCTTTTGCAAACTCTTCTATTGTGACATCATTTATTCCTGAATTGCAAATGTCTTTTTTTAATATGAAAGCTTTAACCTTTCATTTGTCACAGGTATGATGATTATTTTTCCCAAGTGGTAATGTACATTTTCAATTTTATTTGTAATGCATTTTGGTGATTAGATATTTTTGATTGTCAGATGGTCTTTTAGGGTTTCTGAACTACATGACATGTTACAAAATATTGACACATGCATTTCTCTAAAATCCTGTAACTTTCTATTTAACATTATATATAGTCCATCTGCTTTTAATGGGCTGCATCTATAAGACACTTCATTTCCATGGCAGTCACACATATGATGAACATTTTACTAATTTCAAAAGCAGATGGCACTATTCCAATTATTATTATCCCATTTGTTTGAATGTATTTTAAACAGATTGTTTATTTAAAATGTTATTTTGTGACTCTGAAGGCTTACTCATATATTGCTTTTCTTGTGATGTCCTGTGTATTTAATTTTACGCCCTTGAAAACATACATTTCAAATAGCAAGGTGGCCAAATTTTGCTAAGAAAGAACCCTCAGACTCTACTTCTTGTTGTACTATTATATACAATTTGTCTTCCTCAAATAATTAAAAAAAATATTGTCTTTCATGTATATCATCCCATTATCCTTCTTGTACTGAATATAGAATTTAAGATCCTTTGGGACGGGTGCAGTGGCTCACCCCTGTAATCCCAGCACTTAGGGAGGCTGAGGCGGGTGGATCACTTGAGGTCAGGAGATAGAGACCAGCCTGGCCACCAAGATGGCAAAACTCCGTCTCTACTAAAAAATACAAAAATTAGCCAGGTGTGGTGGCGCACGCCTTTAGTCCCAGCTACTTAGGAGGCTGAGGCACAAGAATCGCTTGAACCTGGGAGGCGGAGGTTGCAGTGAGCTGAGATGGCGCCACTGCACTCCAGCCTCCAGCCTGGGTGGCAGGGTGAGACCCTATCTCAAAAAAAAAAAAAAAAACCTACAATCTTAAAACAATGTGAAATTCACAATTATTATTTTATTACTAGGCTTCAGCGAAATCGTAAGATCATGGAGTCAGTCAAAAAATAAACATTTTAAGAAGCTTCTGGATCAGATTTTTGGTTACAAGAACTAAACAGTTCCAATTATATTTTCTCATGCTATGGAAAGGTAAACTTTTTTACATTATTTGAAAAGCTTGAAGTCCTAAATATTTAAAAAATTGATCTAATTCTGTGCGGTCTGTTTTGGGTGAAACAAAGACCAGGAGACTCTCTTTTCCTGTATCTTTAAACTAGTACATAACTTCTGTTTAAGGGTCTGGTGACAACAGTAATGGATAATTTACAACCTACAGGGCTTCTGGATTAAATAACAGAGGTTCTGTAAACCAACAGGCTTCAGACTTCAGTGAAAGCACCATAATTTGTTTATTGCCCTTTCTCAGTTCCTCAATTACAATTGATCTCTGCTAAACAGACTAGTGTTGCTAATTGTTGGGAAAGGGGGAATATAACTTAATCTTTATAGACATCTTCTAGCCAAGGATTTCTCCTTATAATTCAGTGCCATAATCTCACCTAAGCACAGATAAATGGAATCCATACACCTAACCATAACAAGTACTTTCAAAATTAATGTATAAACAATCAAAGTTGAAGTAGCTGTGCTTGGAACAGAAAAAAGAAATGGTGACTGATTGTATCTGATATAGAGCCAATGACAGACAAACAAGAGTACTTGATTAGAGCTCTTGTCTTGCCAGATCACTTATTTGAATTCTACTGATAGGAGTTTAATCAGCACTTAATCTCCTTATCATGTCTAGGGTGTTGATCAACTTTAAGTACTTAACATTATACAGAACCCCTACAGGCAGTTCCACTTCAAAGCCTGAAGTGCAATGGATAGGTGTCTCCTAATCTTATTTTTCTCCATTAAGGGTGTTGAAAAGAAATGCTGTCATCATCAACTAACCATGTTCTAATTTAGTCTGTTTAAGCTTCTGAATTGTTTGTTTTAGAAAAGTTTGACTTATTTATAGTAAATCTTCATTTTCTGAACCCACCATTTTAGAAATTGAAAATATACTATATATATATATATACGTATGTGGGTTTGTATAAAATATGTTCCAGTTTACAGTTTAACTTCTGAATTATTTTAGAAAGTCTTGCCTTATTTATGCTCAATTTTCTTGACCCAGTATATTGGAAATTAAAGAAATACATACACATATACATATATGTGTGTTTGTAGTTACTCTAATTTCTCACTTCAATATAACATCAGTAGAAGGTCCAAATGGACAAGTAGTACATTAAACACAAATTAAAAATATCCTTCAAATATTTTCAACATTATGTTACGGGTAAATTTCAATGACATTTTTTGTAGATCACTCCCTGACTTAGTGAGGATTCCACATTTCCACATTCAAGTTCCTCTTTTATTCCTTATAGTAGCCTAATGAGAGAGAACAGGTATATTGACTACATATTTGCTATACATTAAAACCATGTACTTCGGTATAAGGTGTCCTCCTGAGTATTATCTATCCATAAGGATTTTTTGCCAAAATTTAAGTATTTGTCATGTGAATTGTTTTCAGGTCTCCAGAACAGACTAAAGTTATTTATTTAAAAGAAAATTGAAGTAAAATTATTGAAATTGATAAACTAAGTAAAGCTACATAAACCAAATATTATGTATCTAGAAATGATAATTTTTACATTTGATGTTTAATATACTTTTATTAGTATTTCAGTTGCTTTAAGTGTTCAATTGTCTACTTAATTTTTTATGGCAGCATATATCCAAAACAATGCATAATATCTCTATTTGGTCTAATGCACTTCAGTTGGAAGACATTAAGAGAGGAAAGATATTTTACTATTTGGAAAGAGCAGGAAATTCAAAATTTCAACTCAATTCATGTTAATTATTTAGAAAAAAAATTTAGAACCAAATAAAATATCAATTATTTTGTTTTCTCAAATTATTTCATTATTTACATTTTTTTCAATCCAAAATACCATACATACTTTAGGATCTTTTTTTAAATTTTATCTTATCTGAAATAAGTTTACTCATTCCTAATTTTAAATACAAACATAGGCTAAGTTGAATGCTAACTATCCGGCCATCCAAAAGTGATTGATTGATTGATTGATTTTATTAGGATATTCTCATTTGAAATAGAGGCTTGAGACTAGCTGTACAAACAAAAGATAAAGAAGGCAAAGCAGTTTGAATGTTTCAATTTTCATAGAAGGATTTGCAGCAATTTTATTGGTTTGAAAATTTCCACAAACATTTATAAAAGTTACTTTATAGTATTTCACTTCAGAAAGAAGGGAACTGTGACAACTTCCCCATGCTGTCAAATACATGACATTTAAAAGATAAATTAATATTTGTAAATAAAATTAACCCTTTATAAAAGATATTTTAGAAGTCTGTTTCAATAATGTAATTAAAACAAATACATGATAGAAAACTTGATTTATGTGAATGATGTTCTACTAATCTTTGAATTACTAATAGCATTCATTAAGTTTAAATTTGGAAAGATCAGGCATCTCAAAAAATGGGTAACATTAAACTAAATAACAATGTTGGCTAAGTAGCACTGAGGCACAAACAGGGAAAAATAAAATAAAAGTCTATTATTTCTTAACTACGAATGCTTTCTAAAGTAACTCAGATGCTTCCATTTTATTTGAGTATTGCTTTTTGTTTCCTCTATTAAGTAGTGCTTAAAAACCACAACTTCACTCAATCAGTAAACAGGATCATTACTTCTAAGTGTTTCAGATTCTAAATCAAGGGTTTCATTTAATTTTCCTTGCAGAATAATGCATATAGATGAGGATGTCAAATTGCAAATAACCTGTATTAGAATAGCGTTTACAGTGCTTATGGTAAGTAATCAACATTATTGACTTAGCTTAGGGATTTTAAAATGCTGAAAAACACTAACAGAATAAATTGATTGGAAGAATAGAAAAGTACATCACTGTGTTAAAGATTTGAAATGAAAGTGAAACGCATTATATGATTTTCGTAGTTTAAGAGTACATGTGCATATATAGATATGCACGTAGATGGATAATGTGGGCATTATTGATTTAAATTCCCCATTGGGATTAAAGAGAGAATGCCTAGTTTTGTTTCAATGGTAATGTTGATATTCATTATCAATATGATAAAATACAAACTGGTGGCTCTGTAATACAGATTTAATGCCCCTGCTGAACTTTTTTCCATTAGTAGCTAATGGCTATTCCTGTTTACCTTCTATGACTCCAAATGCTCATTCCATCTTTTTTCTGTGATCATCACAGTTATACAGGAAATGATTTTGCTAAAAACAAAAATATTCTACTTTATTTTAAAAATGATAGAGCTTGCATCTGTAAACATGACTTTAATTTATGCCTTCTATGATGTGTCAGCATTCTGAAAAAGAATCTTGTTCTGCATTTATAAAATAGAAGTGAAAAATTTCATAACTTGGAATAGTTAGTAAGAAAAAGGCTTGTTGCACTTATTAAAGTAAAATATTTTTCCCTCAGAAGAGTTTATATTTTTTAACATATATGCATAAAGTGAGCATTTCATTTCCATTACTAAAAATCTTTTTATCATGATAAACAAATCTATTCATTAAATTGCCTTTCTCTTCTATATAGCAACAGCTTATTTTTAGAATGACTTTCAACTACTAAGTTGAATTTATTTTAAAGAAAGAAGAGTATAAAAACTTATTAATTTATTTTAATTAAACCCATTACAATAATCCCTGGAGAGAAAACAATTAAACATTGAATAAGAAACCATAAAAAATCAAGTTCATTTCCTCTTTGCATTTGAGTTCCCTTAGTCATCTCTTTTTCTCCAAATGAAGCCTTTAAGTATTGTAGGTTTTTTTTAACTGAAATAGCATAATTTTAAATGAGGTTATGATACTAATACTTAATATTATTGCACATCTACTATATACCAACACTATTCTAAGCACTTAATGTGCGCACTTAATTCTCCTAAACAAACTTATGAGATAGAAATTCATTATTTTTCTCATTTTACATTAAGGGAGATTCAAAGCATACTCTCAATAAGGTGAAAAGACAAACCACAGAATGGGAGAAAATATTTGCAAATCATATGTCACATATGCAAATTAAAACCACAATGAGATACCACTTCACAACTATGATAATGGCTATAATCAAAAAGACAGAAAATAGTAAGTGTTGGCCAGGATGTGGAGAAATTGAGACCCACATACACTGCTGGTAGAAGAAAATAGTGTAGTTTCTTTGGAAAAGAGTTCAAGACATCCTTAAAAGGTCAAACTGAGTTACCATGTGACTCAGCAATTCTACTCCGAGGTATACACACAAGAGAAGTGGAAACACATCTCCACACAAAAACTTATACAAATGTTCATATCAGCATTATTCATAATAATCCAAAAGTGGATAAAGCCCGTATGTCCATCAACTGATAAATGGATAAATAAATATAATGTATTCAACATGCAATAGAATATTATCTGACAATAAAAAGGGAAAAAGTGCTGATACATGCTACAACATGGATGAGCCTTGTAAATATTATGCCAAGTGAAAGAAGATAGACAGAAAAGACTACATATTATATAATTCCATTTATGTGAAATGTCCAAAATAGGCAAATCCTTACAGGCAGCAAGTCAAGCAATGGCTGCCTATGATTAAGGGGGTTGGAAGAAATAGAGGGTGACTGCTAATAGTCATGTTTTCTTCTTGAGGTGATTAAAATATTCTAAAAATGATTGTGGTTGTGCACAACTCTGTGAATATAGTGAAAACCATTGACTTATATACTTTAAATGGGCAAATTGTATGGTACATAAAAAATATCTCAATAAAGCTGATACATATATACACGTATATACGCACACATATATATGTGTGTTTCTTTTGAAAGATATTAAGGATGGTACTTGCCCTGAATGACTGTAAAGGGTAAACCTGGAATAAACATGCAGAGTCTGGCTCCAGGGCCTGTGCATGCAACTACTAAGCTTACTGATTCTGCTCAAGGTAGTTTTGCTCTTCAATGTGATAACTGATTTCACTGAATCAAATATCTTCTTTAAAAACCCACCATACAGCCTGGCTCCAAATAAAAGTTTTCTGAGTGAACGTAGATGGATACTTCTTTCCAATAAAACAATATGATGTATGGTGAGTAACGATGTTGAATAAGTCATTTCAAGATGCTAAGAAGGTTAATTTTGAATGTCCAGATTCTTGATAAATCAGCAAAACCTGCAAATGTGTTGTTAGGACATTTAGTTGCTAACAACAATGAAAAATTCTTCATAGCTACTTAGCGTTTACATTTTTTATTACCTTACTCCCCAAAGAGTTGCAGTTATCATCCAATCATGTTTTTTAATTTAGGGGATAAAAAGGACAAATGTCAAAATATATTTATTATGTTATTATACATTATTATCTCCATTTCCTTTAGGATTCTGTTGAAGACTTTTGGAAAATTCAGAATGGATTTATAGAACTTTAGAGCAAAGGAACCTAAGAGAACATCTAGTAAAATTGTTCAACTGAAGAAAATTTAACTTAAAGAGGTCAAATAATTTATAAAGGCACTAGATTCAACAGAGAATAAAACTAAAGTCATCATCAACATCTTCACAACAATAACAAAAGAAATAATCAGTGCTTATTAAAAAATATTATGGTCAAGGCAACACACTATACACTCCTTATCTCATTTGACTTTCCTTGCAACTCTCTGTAAGATAGGTACTATTATTGTTTCCATTGTATAGACAAGAAAACTAAAGACAAGGCAAGTAATTTGCCCAAATCATAGCCAGCAAATAATGAATTTGGGATTTAAACCCAAGCCTTTCTGATGTATTCTTAGACATCTTACTATACCTTAATCACAATCAATTCAGCAATCTGATCTTTTTTTATTAATTTAAAAAAAATTAAGGGAGCTTTTATCGGGAACACCATGACTAATTTGAATCATATAACAAAATTGAGTCATAAATAAATATTTGCTCATAAGATATTTATTATATTCATTTATTACATTAATATTTTATAAAATAAAATATAATTGAAGCATAAAATAAAATTTATCATAAAAAGAATTAATTAGCCAGAATTTGGATTTGAAGAGATATTGTGACAGATTGTAACCTTCAGCCCTAAACAATATATAATGGCAATAAACTGTTTTCTCATCCTAATGCATAAATAAGACAGATTTATACCAGAGAAATGCACTTGCAGTAAATAATGCACAGTTAATTTAATCCTTTTTTGAAGTTATTCGTGTAGCTTATAATAAAGCCTTGCCTCCAAAAATGATAGAATTAAATCAGTCACTTCGGAGACCCAAAGATATATTAGTCATCATTCACAGCATCAAGACCTCTGCAGCAGGAGACACAAGAGTGTTGATGTCTTTGTAACTGCATGTGCTGCTCACTTAGAATGAGCCCAGTCTAGTTACCCAAAATTCCCCTCTGCCTGTCATTCCTCTGCCTGGAATGACTTCTCTCTTCTCTATTCCACAGGACTACCAATGTGCAATCCTCTCTCCTTGAGATTTTCAACTTGGAGTTCTTGGAGTTACTTATGAACTCTAGCTCATAATTGGTTTTGCCCTGCCTCAATTTCAAAGGTAATTAGCTAGAATCAACATTACCCATGCTATAACTTATATACTCATCATATGTTACTGATCATACATTTTATTGACTTGAGGTTGTTTTCACATGTTTATTTTTCCTCCTGCCAAAGTAATCATACAGTTCCTATGAAGAAAGATTCTAAATTTCTATTGATTTTTCATCCAGGTTTTACTGTGAAAGTTACACATATACACTGGAAGAGGCCTACATGCTTTAATGTACATGACAGTGAACAAAAACAACAAAAAAAATTATTCTTTTTTTTTTTTTTATTGATTTCACATCCGCCACCCACACACCTCATAGAAGCTGTCTGCTGGGGTTCCATCAATTCCTGATGTGTCATTAGGCTGCAGATTCCTCTGCTTTAGGAACTGATCACAGCCACATGGATGAAAAGTCCATTCTAAATATAATAGAACCATGTTATATTATAAGTATATATAAGCATTAATAGCAGAGTATATTATAAGATAATGACATTTGCATCATTTTTTTCTTTAAGAAATGCAATCTTTTCACTTACATTAGTATTGATAAGGTTTTTATGTTGATTAACTATGATTCATAAATCTTCATTTGGGAATAAACAAGTTCTCCCCTTAAAGAGATAAGATATCTGGGTGGTAATATCCTTTATTTTTTCTTAAGACTCTTTAAGCTTTTAGATGAGATTCTGAAGTTCGCACAAATTATTCTGAGACAGTGAGCAACTTCTAGATCCATGCCATCTCTATCACACAAAACAGTGATCTAATCCTCCCATTCAATATATTTATAAGAAAAAATTCGTGTTTGCCCATTTGATCTTCCCTCACTTTATCCCTAGGAATATTAGGATTTCCATTCATTTCTGCTGGGACTGAAAAGCTTAGTTCTTCTGCAGGCTAGACCTGGGATATGCTCCATGAAGCAGCAACACAGAGCCTATTTCTCATTGCATGTTATTGCTGCTGCTGCAGATGCTCCAAAGGGCTGCACCTTGGGTGTCTTGCATTATTTTTATAGGTATTTATTTGGGTTCATTACCCCAGCAGCTAGAGCATACCTCTATCCATATTCTGCAGGGCTTCCCAGTAGACACAGCTTTGTGTGTCCACTGGTTTGAGCCTCCTGTTAATGATGATAGCCCCGTCCACTGGGGTGGTGGATGGGGCTCTTCCTGTAAGTTCTGTTCATACCATGTCAGGTAGCTAGTACTGTATAACACTCATTTGGGTTTTCTATTCTCCTACCTGCTATTCATCTTTATATATTTTGGTTAGTATCCTTAAATACCATAATTCCTAATCTGAAAAGTGTATGTACTATACAGAATTCTATTATAATAGACTAGGGTTAAATACCAACAGCAACAACAAAAACTTGTTTGAGAAGCTCAGAAGCTCCTGTGATTTCAATTAGATATAGACCAGAAAAGATTTGGTGTTCTTTCCTACAAACAAGTTTAGAAAAAATAAAAGAGGTGTTATGTAGCTTTTTTCCTCCAAGAATTTTTAATATTGCCTTATTGAAATATGAAAGTGTAAAATGTAAATGCATTATAGTTTCATCACTTGACTCTATGTATCACTCTGCATTTGAAATGCATTTTAACAGTTCTACAGGTTCACAGTACTTTATCCACAATCCTAAAACCCTAAAAGATCTGAAAACCAAATATTTTCAAACGGTAACTCCAAAACACATTTTGTGGCAAAATCCGACTCAAATCGACTTTTATCCACTTAGTGTAAATGGTCATATATTTTATTTTAGAAATATTTATAAGTTTTATTTCAGGATATTGTCCCAGTCCTCACTGGCAATGTGATGTACATGCACTGTACTATCTTTCTCAATGCTAAAAATTCTAAATTCTGAAAACATGTTTGGCCCCAATAGCTTTATATACAGGGTCATGGATCAATGGCTATCTAGCTGAATGCTAGTACTAACATAGGAACTATGCCTAAAGTGTATGTACGTATGTATATATCTACATATATAAATATACATACGCCGAAATAAACTCACAAAATTGGAATAAGGCAAGAATCAGAAGAAAAATTAAGAATATGTTAAACTTCAGCCTATATTCAACATTGTACTGTACAGAATAAAATTTAAAACACCATAAATGACCACAAATAGGGTATTGGCTGAATGTATTCAGGCACATCTGTAAAAGGGGTACAAGTAGCCATAAAAACGACACCACTACAGAGTATTTGATGACATAAAAAATGTTTATAGTACATTATTAACAGAAAAGCAGGTCATCAACAATTCAAATAAAATAAAACTTTTATAAACCTGTATACATACATATAAATTAATGTGAGCAAATAGACTAATGGTTATTTCCGGATGATGGGCTTTTCAATGGTTTTTATTTTCTACTCTTTGGTTTTTCTTTAATTTCTTTTTATCATAAAATTGTATTGCTTCTTTTTTAAAAGCTTTTGTTTTGTTTGATAAGAAAGCCTAAGAGAACATGAAAGAAATAATCTGGACAAATAGTTGAAAGAAAAGCAGATGATGACTAAGCCTCAAATGCTAAATAATCACATGCCTTTCCCTTGCTGTATATATGAAGAGCTGGTTCAGTGTTTGTTTGCTCTGGTGGGTAAAAGTTCATTTCATGAAAAGAGAATTACACAAAATCACAGAGAAATTTTAGCATTTATGGGCTGTGCTTTGTATACAAAGATGATGTTATTGACTCCTTGACACTGAGGAAACTTCAGTATTTCTTCATGGCTGCAATTACCCAATTTGGGAAATGAACCAGACACCAGAGCTTCATCTAGATGACAGTTTAGACATAAAGTGCTGTGGCTGCCATTTTCTTTTTTTTTTTTTAGTTCCAATTGCATGCAGCAAAGCAATAATGTACAGCCCTAAACTCCCATTCTCTTCAAATAGTATATGCTCTTTAAATAATTTTAAATTAAGAATGTAAATATTACTCCCACTCAGCAAACTATAAGTGGCATCATCTTTGTTGTTATAATACAATATGTTAATAAGTATATAAAATCCTTTTTGATCGAAGTGCTGCATAACAGAAAAAATTTTTACAATGAGAATAAGCATTAATCTGGGCATTTTGGGGAGTTCATATCACAGAACCTTGAAAGCCAGTCTAAATATTGATCTAAACTGCCCATACTATTCTCCAGGTCTTCAAGCCATACAATTCCATATTCAAGATGATTCTTTCTAGATTGGGGGCTAACGGTAATGGTTATAAAGTATTTTGTTAATGACTCAGCAAATATCTATTACATCTCCTTCATTTACATGACCTCTTTATTTTTAAAATCCAAAGAATATGTCATTTCTTGTCCTTGGAGAACTTATATATTCTACTTTGAAAAAACAAAAATTCCTAGATGTAAGTTAAATCATAACTCAAAAATTCAAAATAGTCTATGTCAAGAGATGGTATAAGCCTGCACACAATTAAAGGCTAAATATCTGCAGGTATTTTTAAGTCAGAATATTGTTTCCTGGGGTTGGAAATACATAATGCAAATCCATGAAGAGGGGAGGGCTTCAAACATGTCTTGAGGAGTTGTGAAATATGAGCAGAGAAGAGGAAGCACATTCCAGATGGGGCAATAGTATGAGGCAAGATGCAGAGAAGTCAAAAACAAGGACTATATAATAGCTAAGATTCCCTTGAGGCGGGGGGTTACTATGTGCATTGCACTGTCACATCATTTAATTCTCACAAAAACTCTATGAGATTGATACAAATATGAACCTGTTCATGACCACCCTGCCTAATAAGGACTCTCCACCATTCCCATTCTCCATCTCTATCTATTAGTCTGATACATTTTCTTCATGACACTTTCATTATCAAAAAATATATAATTCATTAATTTATTTACTTCTTTAATGCAAGCTGCCAGAGTGCTGGGACTTGTTTGCTACAATATCCCTAGTACCTGAAACAATTCCTAGATCAGAGTCACACACAGTATGTACTTATTAACAGTGTCATCCCTTTTATGAATGAAGACCCTAATGGGCAGTGAGGGGTTACATAACTAGTCCAATACCACATGATCAGAATTTGAACTCAGGACTCTTCTTGCTCCAAAAGCACATGTGATACTATCCCCCAATGAATCATTAGAAAACAATAAGTTGGTCCCTTTTGAAGAATATATAAATTTCCTTGGGTTTTTGTTTTATTTATTTATTGTTTATTGGCATCCTAATAACAGGAAATAAAATTACACTAGAAGTCTAGTGTCAGACTATAAAGGCCTTGATTTTCAGGTTAAGATTTCTGAATTTTATTATGAGAAGACATTCTACAATGTAAACAGAGTTAGGGAGAATTGATGTATCTGTCATCATGTTGGAGATGGGAATGAGGAAGCCTAAACCTAAAACCAGAGCCTTAAGAGATTGCTGAGAAGAGCGGCAAGTGTGTTGACATCTGGACTAGGATTTAGCAGTGTACAGGAAAGAGAGAAAAAATACAAGAAGAATTACAGAAAAAATTTAACTTTTCTTCTGCAATTCTCTGCCTGCAAAGTCTTTTGCCAATTCTCCCCTATGGGAATCTTAGTCTTCAAGACTGGCATAAATCTAGATTCTTCTGGGATTTCTCCTCCAACAATTCTAGGCACAAGTCCTTTGGAGCACTTTGCTCACATTCACCTAGTGTCACACCAGAGTACAATATGGTTAACAACAGAGGGAAAGAAAAAAGCTGCATTGGTCTTCTGAGAGCCTTGAGATCTGCAAGTAAGTCTTAGTCATCTGTTTATCTCCAGCAGGTACTACAGTATTGGAGGCTGTGATGGTTCATTTTATGCCTCACCTGCACTGAGTCACAGGATACCCGGATATCTGGTTAAATGCTTGTACTAGTCCGTTTTTACGCTGCTGATAAAGACATACCCAAGACTAGGCTATTTACAAAAGAAAGAGGTTTAATGGGCTTACAGTTCCACATGGCTGGGGAGGCCTCACAATCATGGCAGAAGGTACAAGGTACATCTCACATGGTGGCAGACAAGAGAAGAGAGCTTGTGCAGGGAAACTCCCCTATAAACCCATCAGATCTCGTGAGACTTATTCACTATCCTGAGAACAACACAGGAAAGAACTTTCCCCATGATTCAATTACCTCCCACAGGGTCCCTCCCACAACATGTGGGAATTCAAGATGAGGTTTGGATGAGGACACAGCCACACCATATCAACGCTATTTCTGGGTGTGCCTGTGAGGGGTTTCCAGAAGAGATTCACATTTGAATCAGTGGACTGAGTAAAGTAGATTGCCCTCCCCAATGTTGGTGGGCATGATCCAATCTGTCAAGAGCCTGAATAGAACAAAAAGGCAGATGAAGGAAGAATTCTCTGCTCTCTGCCTGATTGCTTGACCTGCAACATCATCTTCTTCTGCCCTCTGACTGGGACTTAGACCATTGGTACTTCTGGTTCTTGGGCCTTAGGAATTGGAATAGAACTCCCATCATCAGTTCTCTGAGTTTGAACTTGGACAAAAAGTACAAGAATGGCTTTCCTAGAGCTCCAGCTTTTAAATAACCATGGGACTTCCAAGCATTCATAATTGTATGAGCCAGTTTCTCGTAACAAATTACATATATATACACATAAACCTATATATATGTGTGTGTACATATATATGTATAAAACAATGTATAAAAATATTTACATTGGTTCTGTATCTTTGGAGAACCCTGACTAATATGTGTACTTTTGACACTAACATTTATTGCATAAGCAAAGCAGACACCCTGAGATTTTCAGGCCAGGTATTGGAAAGAGGTGGCCGTTCTGACAGAAATGGGCACTCCAAAACTGCACTGAAACAAAGGCTTGGGACTTATTGACAAATAGGAGTATCCAGAAGAGGAGCCAGGGAGGATGGAAAGTGTAACTGTACACACTAAATAAGGTGAAGTGACAGCCAGAGAGCCAAGTTGAAATGTTCAGCTAGAAGCAAGAGACAAGATCCTGAAGTTCTGAAGGTCAAGATCAAAGAGGTGAGATTTGAGTATTATTGACATAAAGACGAAAGTTGAAGACGTGAGAGTAGATAACAGCACCTAAATTCACAGCAGCTGTAACAAGACCAAAGACCTAAGAGCTAAATCATGGAATAGGTCCACACAGAGGAAGCAAGGGGAGATGGAATTACCCTGTGGAGAACCACAGAAGGAATAATAAAGCATAAACTTGTCATTTAATTTTATGCAAATTTATTTTACAAAGCTTCCCTTTTAATGCAATGTTGTATGTACTTCTTTTTATATTTAAAATTTAGCTTCTCTGGAGGTAAATGTCAGTAAGCATCCAGCTTCTCCTGCCCTCTCTGTCATGTTATCATCAAATTGTGACTATTTTGGCAAATAATTGTGTGTTGATTTATATTAGGATACAGTTTAAAGTTTTCCATCTGGTCAAACAAATATCATATAGTCACCAAAATGAGCCCAGAATACACTGATTTAAAAGATTGGGCAAGCTTCAATAATTTCTCTTGATTATCATTAACCATATGTATTTCATTTTTAAATTATTCTAACAGATACTCAGTATCAACAGACTGTAATTCCCCAGCAAGGTATAAAATAGGCATTAAAACTATTTCTAAACTATCATCTAGGATGATGTATAAAGCATTCCACATAATAGCAGACTAAGTATCATAAAATATTAGTCAAGTACTAACACAGTCATTAATACTCCTCTTTAACAAAAGGCAATTTCACAGCCTCATTTACCAACTGGAATATCCCACGTCTACTTCATAATTATGCTTTTTATTAATCTCTGTAAGTTTTAGTTAGTGTTTTTTGGCAATTTCTTAACACTAGTGCCCTGGATGTTGTTAAAATGGATTAATAGCTTTGTAAGTAATATATATTACATGTATATATTTAACTGTAGGTGATTTGACTTGTATTGTGGCAATCAGCTTTTTTAATACCCTATTATATGTTTAGGATTTATTTTAGTGCAACTAATTTTTAACCTCAATATTTTGCAACATCTCTTTATGATGTTAGTTTTATAAATAGAAGGATATAGTGAACTGGGGGTTGTGGTCAGCCCTAGCTCTTCTCACATTGTTTTGGCCTGAGGCAGGCCTGAGGATGGAATCATTTCAGATGGATTAGAACCCAGATAAATAACCATAAAAGTCTTGCAACATTATCTCCTCTTTAAAAATATACAGTTCCAACTCTTTTCAATGTGGATGGAGTATAAGAGTAAACAACTTCATTAGGCATGTTAAAGCACATTTTAGAGAAAGTACATTTGGCTGAGAATTATAAGCATCTTTCTGCATCAGCCTTTTTTGAATTTAAGGACAATCTTTCAATTAACTGAGCCTGCTGCTACATACTAAAATGTAGTTTGAGTTAACAGCAGTTTGATTGGACATTCAGAATTACAGCTCCTGGAAGTTCTTAAAAGGTCACCTACTCCTTCTCCCTGCACTTATGCAATTAAAATTGCACTTGAATATGGAATGAAAGGACAGAATGGGGAAAAGCAGATTTATTGAAGACAAACAATAGGACAAGCACAATTGGAACAGAGATGAATAAATCAAGGCCCTCATCTCAATGAGTTCACAGACTAACTTGGTTTATAGCCATATAAACAAATAACTGAAATAATGCATGTATAGTTTTGCACAGTGCCTGGCACATAAGTGCTCAGTAAATAATAGTCCTTATTTTATATCCCAATAAAATGCTCACCAAGTACAAGAAGTCATCAAGCTAATGCACAATAGTCCAAAAAAATGCTCACATTTTAGTCTGCAAGATTGCAAATCAAAATTTCATGTGTTCATTCATTCACTCATTCCTAAAAGGCATTAATACAGTATAGAGACTAAGAGTGTGCATTATTTGATTTCTGACCTACACTCTACCACTTAACCAGTTGTCCCTCATTAGTAAAACAGAGATGTGGCTACTTCACAAGATTGTTTTGAGGACTGATGAATTTACATGAATTAATACAAGCAAAGTGTCTGACTCTGAGAAAGCATTTAATAAATCTCAAGATTATTATTTTCCTCATATATGTATCAAACAGTTACAAGGCAAATACTAGGTGTTCTTTGGGGACCAAAAAGATTATGCCCTTTGCCCCAACCACATCTGCACCATTCTTCTCTCACTCCCTCTGTGGGTCACAGAAACCCTCTTTGTCTTCCTCGACTGCATCACAATTTGCTCCTCCAGCCCCTGTACCTTTATTTATATAGCTCCTTCTTCCTGGAAAACTCTTCTTTCCTATCTTTTCCTATACAACTCTCATTAATTTCTCATATTCAGGTCTACTATCCCTTTCTCTGGGAAACTTTTCCTGATTGCTTAGTTTAAACTTTGTTTCTTTGCCACCTGTTATCATAAAACTGAATTTCTTCACTGTACCTATCTCAGTTTGCAATTGTTAATATGATATTTTGGCCAATGTCAGTCTTAAGGATAAGCTCAATGAAGGCAGGCATCTTGTCTATTTTTCTCAAAACTGTATCCCAGCTCCTAGCACAGTGCACGGTGGAGTGCATAGTAATCCTTCAATAAATACTTACTGAAGGAATGAATTAATGAATTCACCATATGACAATTTTAAAAATGTAGAATCTCCAAATTTAAGTCTTCTGTTATAAAGACCAAAGTTGGGATAATGAGGCCAAGAAAGTAGCCACATAGGTTCATTATCTTATTTAATTTTTAAAACAATTCTTGTAAAATTAGAATTATCATTTGCATTTTGCTAATGAAAAAGTTGAGCATAAGAGTGCTTAGAAAGCACAAGATTTCTAACTAGAAGAAACTAGAATCAAAACACAGATAGTTACCCTATTCTTTTCTATTATACTTCTCTTAAAAAGCTCTCCTAAGAGAGATAAGGCCTCATTTAATAATGCATTCCGATGTTGAAGATAAAACTTCAGAAATTAATAAGTAAGCTCAACTAAGTGTAGTATTTTATCTTTCCTCTCCATTTCTAAGCAGCATACTTTTGATACTGGGTACCACCCATATGAAGAAATTCAGAGACTCTCACTCACCTGCAATGGTGACTCTCACCATGGTTAAGTGAGTGAGAGTCTCTGAATTTCTTCTCTTAAATAGTTTCATAGCTGCATTTACAATCATCTAGGAAACGGCATACTTTATCTATAGAATGTTTTGATCCAGTCTCTCATTCCCTAGCCTTAGGCTATAAATATAATGTCTCATTCAGTGCAGTAATATGTGTCCTGAGCTGATAACATATAGATTCCACATTATAACAAATAATAATCTAGAGATCTCTAAGGAGAGGGCTCCAACCCTCTAGTGATTTTTGTGTTGGCTGCTATATATGCTAGAGGTATTTCGTCAGCTCTTAAAATACTATTTCTTAAATTATAAAATTGTTTTAAATTATAAAACCGTACATATATTTGGTAAAACAAAAATCGAAAATAGTACAGAAGAGTATAAAATGAAAAGTGAAATGTTCTATTCTCAAACCATCTCCTTTCCCATTACCAGAGGCAATTTCTTTTAATGATTTCTGTTTTTACCTCTTTTTATGGTGATTAGTACTGTATTTTAAATAAAATATTTATAACCTATATCTTTATCACTTTCAGATAGTTATCTACCCACTCCCTGCTATGAAAAATAAAGAACTTAAACCAATTACACTACCTCTCACCCCCTCCTCTTCCTAATTCTTGATTTTTGATCATATTTTATTACTTTAATGTCTCTAATAGCTATATTTTATCATGATATATTAACCTCAAGCCTGTATTGATTCTTTAAGAATGAATAGACAATATCTACTTATGATGTTACATTGTTAGACAATATATACTTATTGTGCTTTATATAAGATAAGGAAATTACACCTACATTTCTACATTGTACTTCCTACAAATTTCTATTGGCTAAACAATTATTCATATCATCAAGGTCAATAATACAGTCTATTCTATATCTATTTTTGCTTTCCACAGTGTGTCTATATATGGATTCAAAAATGTAAAAACAACATATAGCATTTATATAATTATTACTATTATTATTTAGATAATTTTTACTACGGAATCAGTACAGTAATTAGAGAGTTTCCAGGTTTCTATAGAATAGTGGTAGCCGCCTAAATGTAAACGACCATATATATTCCAAAAAAAAATCTAGGATGGAAAGAGGGCAAATAATATCATCTAGAACTTATACCAACAACAGAAACTGGGCGACAGAGAAGACTAAGATGTGAGTGGAAAAACTAACACCTGACACCAGCAGAGGTAGCTCCTGAGCATTCTCCAGGGTAGAGAGTGAGGGGACAACTCTCCACTGGGTGAATTTCTGCACAATTTGTGAGGAAAGCACTTTGTTCCGGACTATCTTTTCAAGGCTGTTTGGATGGCAAACAGCCATGGAAGTTAGAGATAGTGTGTCCATCTGGAACAAAGAGAGACGTGCTCACTTGCCCAATATAAAAATTTGTGTTCACAGTCCAGGTGTGGTGGCTCATGCCTGTAATCCCAGCACTTTGGGAGGCTGAGGCGAGCAGATCACGAGGTCAGGAGATCGAGACCATCCTGGCTAACACGGTGAAACCCCGTCTCTACTAAAAATACAAAAAATTGGCTGGACGTGGTGGCAGGCGACTGTAGTCCCAGCTACTCGGGAGGCTGAGGCAGGAGAATGGCGTGAACCCAGGAGGCAGAGCTTGCACTGAGCCGAGATCGCACCACTGCACTCCAGCCTGTGCACAGAGCGAGACTCTGTCTCAAAAAAAAACAAAAAATAAAAAAATAAAAAAATTGTGTTCGCAAAGCACAGGATGATCCTCCTGTAACTCAACCCAAGTTACCTGCAGATATCCTATGGCCCTTTTTGCATTGCTCTGTGGAAACTGAGTCCTGGAGAACCAGCACAAAAAAAAAATACCAAACTCTAATTATTGTTATTTTTGTACTAATGAACAGTCCTTCTTCTCTAATCCAAGAGTTTTGTACCTTCTACCAGCAACCACAAAACTGTGTCAGTTTCACTTACAAGTAGGGTAAAATCTCAGGCTCTTTGTCATTCTTGCCAGTAAGGGATGGGCTATGAGGCAGAAAGGAGGTAAGAGTGCTTATGGGGATCCCATTGGTGGCAAAACACAGATAAGATCAACTAGGATTCCACTACAGAAAGAGACGGATCTAGCCTGTGTAGGAAATATTGAGAGATCTGAGACCTGGTAGGTTCTACCAAATGGTTCCTGGAAAATCAGAATGGACCTTGAAAAGTATGCATGACTGGATGAGACACTAGCAGAAGGCCCCACTCTAAAAAGGAGGCACATAGCAATTAGAGTTCCACCTAGAGGCTGGCTGGTGAATGGAAACAAGGAAAAATGAAGATAAGGGCCCCATTGGTAAAAGACAGTACAGAAAGAAAAGAATCAGAAGACACATTAAAAAAAAAAAAAAAGCTCTTTACACTATAACAACATAAAAGGGAACAATAAAACAGAAATCTAGCAAGTCATCCCCATCCCTCCCTGACCCAATACTATCTTTTTCAGTATGTATGGAACATGACAACTATTAGGCCACAAAGCTTTAATAAATCCCATTAACTCGTTTTAACAGAAAGAGTATTTTCTGATCATAATGCAATAAAATTCAAATTAATAACAAAGCTATAAGAACAAAAACGTCCTTTTACTTAGAAAAGTTCATTAACTCTTGGACAAAAAGAAAAAAATATAAACACAAATCACAGAATTTCTAAAATAATATCGATATGAACTACAAAAATACCCAAATCTATGGGATATAACTAAAGCAGTGCTCATAAGAAAATACTTTGCTTTTGATATTTATGTTAATAAAATATAATAATACAAATTAATAAAATTAACCTGTATCTCAAAGGTAGAAACAAAGCAAGAATTTAACCAAAAAGAGAAGAAAATAGTAAAAAATAAGTAAAACTTACTGAATTAGAATAGGAAAAACAAGTCAACTAATAAATAAAGTTGATTCTTTGAAAAATTTAATAAAATACACTTAACCAGTAGACAACTTAAACTAGAAAAAAAAGTGAGAAAGTACTCACACTCAAGAAATGACGAGGAAGAAATAACAATTTAAACAGAGGAAATTGTAAGAATTTTAAGAGACTACTTTGCACAACTTTATACAGATAAACTTTAAAACAAAGGAAACTGATGTCAAAATAATAGATAGAGATGACTTTGAAGGAAGAAATAAAGTTATCTGAAAGCTATTCAAAAACACACCAGCACCAGTTTCTCTGGGGAAATCTATTTGACTTCAAAGATCAGATAATTCCAATTCCACATAAACTATTCCAGAGCATAGAAACATAAGAAAAACATGTAAATACTTTTTAAATGAAATGAGTATCCTATTTACACCTAACCTGACAAAAACTACACAAGAAAAAAGACAACTAAAGTCAAACTTCACTTATGAACATTGTGCTAATTTTCTAGAGTCGACATTATAAAATACTGCAGACTAGGTGGCTTAACAACAGAAATTTATTTTCTCACAGTTTTGGGGGCTGAATATCAAAATCTTGGGGTTTACAGGCTTGGTTTCTTTTGGGGCCTCTCTCCTTGGCTTGCACATGGCCATCTTCTCATTGTCTCCTCAGGTGGCCTTTTCTCTGTTCAGGTATCCCAGATGTCTCCTCGTCTTCTTATATGGACACCAGTCCTACTGGGTTAAGGCTCCACTCTTAAGACCTCATTTAACCTTAACTACCACTTTAAAGGCCCTTTCTCCTTCTAAAGACACATTGAGGGTTAGGGCTTCAACACATGCGTTTGGGGGGAACATAATTCAGTCCCTAACAAACATTATGCAAAACTCCTGAATAAAATGTTAGCAAACAATAGCACACAAAAAATAGTAATACATGGATTCGTTGCTAAATACAGTATATTCTGGAAATGCAAGAATTAACTCGCCACCCTAAAATGACATAAGCATTTTTCTTTGACTTAGTCAGTCTCATATCTAGGAGTCTACTCTGAAGATATTTCTCCATATGTGAAAAATGACATTTCACACCGGTATTGACTGTCATATTTTGTAATAACATAAGACTAAAAAGAACCCAAATGTCTACAAGTAGTAGACTATGTGAACAAACTCTGGTACATCCACCTAATGCAGCTGTGAAAAGGATGAGAAAGATCTCTACATACTGATATTGACTAATCTTAAGGATATTATTACATGAAAAGGCAAGGTGCAACATGGTGTGTACAGTATGTATGCTACATTTCATATAAGGGAAGAAGGGAGAAAACCATAGATATAGATAGATGGATGGATAGATAGATTGATTGATTGATACAAATGTGCATACTTATTTTTGGAAAAAGAAACATCTATGAGATGAAGGGGGGGAAGAGTAGAGGAAGTAGGAATGTAAGTGAGACTTCTCTGATTATGTCTTCAAATAAAACTTTGACTTTAAAACCATGTTAATATTTTATTGATTGGAAGAATAATTCAAAAAGGAAAAAAAAGCAAACTCTAAAGCTGAAAAAAAAAATGAGACAAATGAACCTAAGTGTGCATTAAATTGGTAATGCAATCATCTAGAGGGAAGGCTTATTTCAAATTTTTTCAATAAAGTACAAGTTGAGTAACCCTTATCTAAAATGCTTGGGACCAGCGTTTCAGATTTTGGATTTTTTCAGATTTTGGAATATTTGCCTAGACATCATGAGCTATCTTGAAAATGGGACCCACGTCTAAGCACAAAATTCATCTATGTTTCATACACCTTATACACATAGTCTGAAGATAATTTTATACAATATTTTAAATAATTTTTGCATGAAACTAAGTTTTGACTGTGACTCATCACATGAGATCAGGTGTAAAAATTTCTACTGTGGTGTCACATTGGTGCTCCAAAAGTTTCAGATTTCGGAGCATTTCAAATTTCAGATTTTTTTATTAGGGATATGCAACCTGTATTCTGCACATCCTTTGTGGTATATATTCCAAAGACAAAAACAACAGCAAAGAAATCTTAAACCTTACTCCCCAGTTTTGTCTTTAGCAGTAATAATGACACTGCGATTTTGGAGCTCACCAAAACTTAATTCTGCAGTGCTTAATAAGGTGTCGTATTTAAATTTCGATATTTCCTCACAAATGGCAAATTTATGAGGGGCATACAAAATAATGGGGAAAGGAGAGCAATAGGGGTAGAGGTGGAAGCCAAATCTTTAATCAGCATATGAAGAAAGAAGAAAAATCTAATATCCTTTCTCTTTTACCTTGAGTCAAAAAGACAAAAATTAGATGTAATTTTTAAATCTCTAGCCAACAAAACCTAGACCCAAACTAAGGCTGTAAGCTTCCCAAAACTTCTCAAGTTTTGGGAAGTCTGGGAACTTGAAGAAGTTTTGGGAAGTTTACCGCCTTAGTTCAGGTCATAAATGTTTTCATGCTGTATACTAATGAAGTTTGGGGAGTTTAGTGTATTACATTATCTGTTCTGCAGGGCAGGGATCCCCAGTCCCCAGGCCCTGGACCACTACCACTCTGTGGCCTGTTAGGAACCAGGCCACACAACAGGAGGTGAGCGTACAGGCTAGCAAGAGAAGCTTTATCTGCATTTACAGCCCCTCCCCATCACCCCCATTATGGCCTGAGCTCCACCTCCTATCAGATCAGCTGCAGCATTAGATTCTCATAGGAGTATGAATCCTATTGTGAACTTTGCATGCAAGACAGCTGGGTTGTGCACTCCTTATGATAATCTAATACCTGATGATCTGTCACTATCTCCCATTACCCCCACATGGGACCATCCAGTTGCGGGAAAACAAGCTCAGGGCTCCCACTGATTCTACATCATGGTGAGTTATATAATCATTTTATTACATATTACAATGTAATAATAATAGAAATAAAGTGCACAATAAATATAATGCATGTGAATCATCCCAAAATCATCCCCCCAACCCCCATCTGTGGAAAAATTGTCTTCCACGAAACCGGTCTCTGGTGTCAAAAAGCTTGGAAACCACTGCTGTAGGGCACTCATTGTGCCATTTCCTGGCTACAAGAAATTAGTCTGAACCAGATGACATCTCTTATTTTCCTAAATAAGAATGAATAATAAGGCCAGGCACAGTGGCTTAGACCTATAATCCCAGCACTTTGGGAGGCCAAGGTGGAAGGATGGCTTCAGGCAAGGAGTTCAAGAAGAGCCTGGCAACATAGCAAGACCCCATCTTTAAAAAAGGCACAGCCAGTCATGGTGGCACACACCTGCAGTCCTAGCTACTCAGGAGGCTGAGGCAGGAAGATCACTTGAGCCCAAGAGTTTGAGGTTGCAGTGAGCTATGACAGCATCATATTTGGATATGTCATCCAGAAAAATAATC
The DNA here is from genome assembly GCF_000001405.40 of Homo sapiens. Lineage (NCBI taxonomy): Eukaryota > Metazoa > Chordata > Mammalia > Primates > Hominidae > Homo > Homo sapiens. The sequence goes on from NC_000005.10 coordinate 93,066,809, forward strand.
CACACGTTTGGCTTTCTAAAGAATCATCTCTGTTTTGGAGATCATGCATGTTACACAAGGCAGGTAGACAAAGTGAGTATTTTGGGTGATAGAACTTAGATGACAGAATAAGAATGATGAAATTATATAAAAGTGAATAAGGAATATTGTAATTTAAAATTCTTAATTCTACAAGTTCAAAATGGGAGAAACCAGTTTAACTGTTGCTAATTTTATTTTGTTATACTTTTTTTATTTCACTTTATTACTTTTTGGAAAGTTGGCAACAATTGGGAATAAGCCAAAAACATTTTTATGTAGGTGTGGAAAGCTGAACACAGCCACAGACTTGAAGAAGAGAGGTATCTAGCCAGAACAAGAGAAGTAATAACTCCCTTACTTTATATACACTGCAGACCCAATCTAGGCATCCCATTTTAAAAATAACATCAATAAACAATAAACGACTCAACATTTTGATCTCTTAGTGCTTTTACCTTTTCATTTTCGACAACCTGTCCTCCAATTGTCCTTAGCCATCTACTCCCAGGGATGGTAGGAAGCAGAGTGAGATGGGATCTGTAGATGGTTGGCCTATGTTGATGCTCTTGCCTTACACTACTGGTTTTCAACCCTGGGGGCACATTAGCATTTACCTGAAAAGGCCCCACATTAAAATAATTAAAACAGGTTTGGAGGGAGACATGGGGAGAGAGCAGGGAAATTTTTAAATTTCAGATGTTTCCAATGTTCGAGAATCAGAATCACTGCCCTCAACAGATCCTATGCACTTTGTGAACAGGGATTGGTATTTCCCTGGCTTTACAGATTAGATCTGAAAGAGGTATGCTTTACTGAATTCATGTTACTTTCCAATTCTGATTTATTAAGACAAAGTGAAAAAATATACTAAGCTATTTAGGAATTATATTCTTGATCCTTTCCCAAAAACCTTTATTTACACCCCAAGAATTGTATACACATCATTTATCAGAGAAGAGGAGAATGTATTTGAAAGAATACTTAGGAAATATTTTTAAAGAAGCTTTCAAATCCAGTACTTTAAGTAAAAATCAATGACAGGTCTGATACTAAAAGTATTCAGTGATTTACATATAAACATTTTACAATAAAAATGTGACCTAGGACTACCTCAGTGTAACAATTTATTATTAAAAATGAATGTAAGAAAAATGTTTTAGCATGGTATTTTTGAATTACAAACATGTACTTCAGGGTTGAATGTCTTAGCGGAATGAGAGAAAAAGTTAGTCTCACATGCATAGGCTGATGATAGAAGAAGACAGAAAGGATGCAATTAAATGTAAAATAAATATATACTTTGTTTTCTTAAAGATGAAGCAAGTGTTTAAAACTGTGGTAGATCTTTTAATCTGTTGCTATGCCAACAGAAAAATTTTAAATGGATCCAAGAAATGGGACAATTTTCAGGAATATAAGCACAACCTATTTCAGATAAGTAAAACTGTATTCATATTATCCCCCCAAGGGGATAGAGTCTTGAGGGAATTAGTGCAGAATTAATTGCTCAGGTTTCTCCCCCAAACCACAGCAGTCATAAGGCATAGAATCTCACGCTATATTTTTCTGATATCTAGATCTGGATTTAGGTTAAACTTTTTCAGGATTGTGGGAAATGCTGTTCCCCAGTTTGTAGTTAGCAGGACAGCATGTTTCTACCATTTTAAGACTGATTAACACACACACAAGAGACAAAAGTCCATAAATCGTGAACTGTATTTCTTAGACAATACCGAGATGACATAGCTTTCAAATATAAAAACATCTTAATAAAATATATCTCATATGCAAATTACCAGCATGCTTTTTGAGTCAGACAAAGACAGGCATTGTTTTTCCTGAAAAGAAAAACAAAGATTAAAATGAAGGATGACCTGAAATCTATAACTTATAGAAAACAGAAATTATAAATTTGCTCAAATTTTATTCATGTAAGATAATATTTTAACTATACATTGATCAACTTCTTCACAGCTTTCTCACAAGTAAATATAAGCAAGCATTTCTTTTTTTAAGAGAAAGTTGTTTTGTTTCAATTGTAAAAATACATTTCTGAAAATATTTTAATACATCCAGAGAGTCTTTCCTTAGCTTTACAGCAAGGCAGGAATAGATTGCCTCAGCAAAATAAAGATGAAAATTTAGTTCAACTGCCTTTCCTGAAGGTATTTCTGTAAAGAAAGAAATAGATAATTCACAGTAATTAAAAAGTATTTTCAATTAAATGCTTGTCTGTATGGGTGAGTCTGCCTTATTGCCTATGAGAGATAAAGCCCCTACTTCAGCTTCTTTTCAAATGTTTATTTTTAAATGGCTTAATTATCAAATGGAGCCACTATGAACAACAATTTCTTATCATATTTTTTATTTTATACTGAAGATGAGAAAACATCTGAAACTGGGTAGCATAAGGGGAGCAGTGGCATTCCTTTTTTCCACTAGGTTTCTATCATCTATCTTTAGGTTTTGCTTTATTTTTTAAATATGTGGAGCTGAGCTGATCCACAAATACACTGTTTGAGCTCATCTTTAAATCCTGAGCATATTCACAGAAAGGAAGATTGCCTGTTGGCTACTGCGTATCACCCAGTTTCACTTTGTCTTTGTTTTCTGAAGAGTGTGCCTCTACTATCACTCACATTAATATTACGTAATAAATGACAGCCTTATCATTACATTAACACTCTTTAGCAGTCAGCTAAGGTGACTGCATTTATCTAATAAATAGGAGCTCCAATTACACTTATTTCTGCATTTAATGTATACCATTTCTTGGACTATCCAGATATCACATGGTACAATTGTAGCCTAGACTAGTTACCAAAAAAAAAAATAGGGGATTTGGTGAATATACACAATCATCGTATCCTTAGACGTGCCTGATTGTCTAGTTCTATGTCACAAACTGTGTACCCATACAAAACAAGACAACAGATGCATTTTGGAAGATGTTCATGAGTGTGGTTGAATACACACAGAAAAATCTGATCTACACTAATGGCATTCAAACTTTTTAACAGAGAATTTCCTCAAATGGAAACTTTCTGGGCAGAGCCCAACATATAACTTAGATAATCAGGCAACAATGACTCTTGGGGGCTCTTCTGGCCCCCAAGATACCTCCAAGAATCCTAGCACAGTGCTGAGGATAGCTTGGAAGACCACCGGCTTTAATTTTCATCATATTCTTTTATATTCTTTCATCATATTTTTTCAAAGTTTGCCCTTTCAATAGGGAGTACTACATATTTCAGTCTGTAAAGATTTGGACACTCCTTCACCATCTCAGTTATAGTAGCCATGATTTATCTGGATCTTCTATCTCAAGTTTTTCTCAACTTCTCTATACCTCCATTTTCTCATCTGTAAAATGGAGATTATAGTAGTACCTAACATACAAATATTATTTTGATGCATTTGTAACATAATTTATATAATTAATATTTTAATATAATATAAAGATATTAAATAGTTGTATAATAAAATATATTTTAATTTACATTAAAAGTTCTTTGGACAATAAGCAGTAAAGCATTTATCAAATTAAAAAATTGCTTACATGAAGATGATGTGGTTTTATCAGTGTGTAAGCAATGTTTGTGTGTGTGTGTGCGGGGGCGGGGGGCGGGGGAGGGGAGAGAGAGAGAGAGTCTCTCTCTGTCACCCAGGCTGCAGTGCAGTGGTACAATTACAGCTCACTTCTGCTCTCTGCATCTCTCCAGGCTCAGGTGATCCTCCCACTTCAGCTTCCTGAGTAGCTAGGACCACAGGCACATACAACCACACCCAGATAACTTCTGTATTTTTTTGTAGAGACAGGATTTCATTATGCTGCCCAGGCGGGTCTTGAACTCCTGAGCTCGAGCAATCCTCCTGCCTCGGCCTCTCAAAGTGCTGGGAGTACAGATATGACCCACTGCACCCAGCTGCAACATTTTTTTATAAAAGGCCAAAATGCTGTTTTCTATTCTGTTTCCAATTTTATTTGTGTAGGCCAGTTCATATTCTGTTGATTTCCAAGATGGAATTATATCAATGCTAAGTGAAAGTATTCAGGAAAAAATAGTTCACAGAGCTTTCGTTTTCCAAAAATGGACTTAGGGGCTCAGCTACACATACGAAGATCTTTGGGGTTCTTTTGTTCCTCACTCTTGCCCCAGTCAATCTCATTTGCCACTCAGTTGCGTACACTACACTGTAGCTTGTTCTCTCATCAGTTGGGTCTGTTAGAACCCTGAGGAGTTTAATATCATCTCTAAACCTGGTGATTTCATTGTTTACTTTCAGAACATTTATAGCATGTTAAATATGGCAGCAGCCCCAGGCCTTCAGAGACGCCTCTGTTTTAACTTCCGTCTCCGACATTTTGTTTACTTTGTGTCCTTTAATGAGGACTGGAATCGTGATTGGCTTAACTCTTAAGGATGCTCCCAAGGATCTTTTTCTTGGGAATGAGGAGGAAGGAAGAAAATAATTTGTGTAAAAATTCCTTAGAGGTTTAGATATCTAGAGAAACATGAAAGAAAAAAAATTAAATACATGAAAGCAAAGGGCCCCAATCCAGAATTAAGGCAAGTGCTCAGCTGCCAGAGATATCAGATTGTCTTACTTCCTGGGTTTTTTGTCATAAAACACATTTTTTTTTCTGTTTTTACTAGACCTAAATGCTGTTTAAGGTATCCCTCATTTAATGGCAAAAGCAATTCAGACCACGGAACAGAGACCTTGAGGAATTCATGATTAAAACCTAAGTTTTATGTAAGAACATACAATACACTATCCGAATTTTGAGGCTTTCACACCAAAATCATATTCCCACAAATTTCCTAACTGGATCATTGATTTGGTATCTTGAGTATTTCAAACAGAAACTCTTCATATTTTTTCTATTCACTTTAGGGGTAAAAAAATTAAAAACACAACAAACTTTTCAAAGCAATAAATCCTGCCACTTCAATGTGCTTTAAAAAATTATTTTCTTTAAATACTGTTGTTTAAAAAAGACTTACTCTAGAGAGACATCCGTTATTGAATAGTCAGAATGGGAATTGATAGAAAACATTCTAAATTGGGTGGGTTAAATTTTGCTTAAGGAGAAGTGAGAGTAAAGCCTGAAAAGGTTGCTTTTCTCACTACATTCTGGCTATCTGAAGTCATTGTGTGGAAGCACAAGAATCTTAGGTAATAATTTGAAGTATACAATTTAATTCTTTAATTCAACAGATGTTTATTAAGCACATAATATGTGAAAGTTGCTGTGCTAGATGTTATACTAGACTCTTTGGGAGGTGCACCAATGTAAAAATCATTATTGATAGGATTCCCTCAAGGAACATACAATCTAGTGAAGAAAATGTCACATGTTCATAAATAACTATAGTAATAATGTCTACTGCTTATTGAGGGCTATATCCTAAGTGCCTTACCTATATCAATGCACTGAATCTCCACTACAACCTTAAGGTTTATACTGAGGAAGGAAACCAAGGCACAAAGAAGTTAAGTGACTTGTCCAAAAACCAGTCTTATTAGTAATAGAGGCTGTAGCTCTGGAGGGTTATTGGTGCTGGCAATGAAGACTAAATGTCATCATGTAGAAGTGATCATTGGAACTGTGGGAATACACTGAATTACTACCGGAGGGAAAGATCTAGGGTTACATGGGGAGGTAAGGGGACACGACATCTGCAAGACAGGAGAAGGAAGAAAACTGACTGAAATAGAGAAGACATAGTCATAAAGCCAGAAAATAGAATCCAATAGCATTATCCAAGAAGGCAAGGAAAGATCTTAATGACTGGATAGCCAAAATGTCAAATGCTACATTTTTTAGCATACAAAAAAGAAACATCATGTGCTTTTAAAGACATACAAAAAAGCAAAAATTCTATCCACATTGATTCTTTGAATGTCAGTTACTTAGTCATACAACCTATCCTGGGAAATAACACCATAAAACATTATAACAAAGTGTATATGGACTTGGAGTGGTCCCTAGTGAGGAAAAAAATTAAAACAGATTTGTATTTATTGAAAAATGTTATTAAAATTTTATAGAATGCTAAGCATGTTAATACTTTGTTTTTTCCAATACACATCTGAGAATTTAAAGAGAAAACAAATATTTCCTTTACAAATACAACATAAGTCTTTACAGTAGTATGTCATGTGACATGGCTTCAGTTAATCAAATGTAGGTCCCGGTGCATGTGCAGATAGATGCACATACTAAAGTTCCATATCCAGATAATTTTCTGGAGTGAGTAAAAATCACCGTAGTGACAGACCATTAGCCCAGGCCTCTCAATGCATCTTTTCAACAAAATGTGCACTTTGCCAAATAAAAAATAAAAAAATTAAAAATTAAATTAAAAAAGCTGTGGGCCAATTGTCTTCAGAGTTTCTGGTTTCTCTCCAACTCAGACACACTCATCCTATCACCCTAATGACTCACCCACTCCTTCGCAATTTTAACACACATACCATATCCCAGATATTAAAATTATACTTCCTGAGTTCAATAAAATGTACTGAAAGCAGAATTAAAGTACACTAATTGTGTTTTTAAAATAAGTTACATCTGATTTTTAAAACAACAAACTTGCTCTTTCCTCATGCAAAACCAAAATGCTTCTCCCAAAAAGAGACCTCCTTTCTCTCTGTCCTGCTTAACACCCTTTCCCTCCTTTTTCCTGCCTCTGTTTTTCTGCCTTTGTTATTCTCTGTAAAACTGAATATACACATCGCATTGATATTTCTTGCTAATGATAGCAATATGTATCCTGGAGGGTTTTGTAGCTGGCCTGTCTCTCCTGTGGCAGTTGTAGGTAAATCTGATTGGAATTTCTATACCCATCTAAATAGATCCTTTCTCATCTTGCCCCTAGGCCTCTGAGGTGTGGAATCCAATCTGTGGTGTGTTCCGATGCTGCTCAGTGATAAGGCAGGAGCAAGATTAGATGTGTTCTGAACTGTATTCATGTTCTCTCTTTTTAGTTGCCTAGGAGAAGGAAGAAATCTTCAGAAAAAATATTTTAGAAAATCTTTTCTGAATTGATATGTAGTGCATTTCTCCTTTTTTATACAAGGTGACAGCGTGCGTGAGATGTAAAGATGAGTTTGCTCAGGCAATTACCCCTTGTTGATAGCAGATTATTTCCTCTGGCAACTCGAAAATAACTTGTTGGTATATAAGTTACTGCTGTTCTGGGGATGTAGTAATTTACTCTCCTGCCTTTTTTATGAGCACATTTATTTTAATCAGTAGAGTTCAGAATAGCTCTTTTTCATCTAACTCCATCTCTTTTGGAGTTATGCACCTTCTAACACATAATGAAGGAAGGTCCTTTTGCGCACACAGGAGAAAAGAGGTATGATATATTGCTGGAAAAATGGTCTTTGCACGGGAAATCATATCCCATGATCTTTTTTGTCCATGTTAAAAACACAACACTTGTTCTCCACAGCTCCAGCCCAAATTATTTTTCTGATGAAAACAATGAAAACCTCACCAAGTAACTCACCATTATCTTTCATCGTGGGGACCGATAACATGGAATAGTTACACATGTAGGATGAAGAAGAACATGAAAGAATTCAGGTCAGCAAAACCTATACAACTTTTAAGAAATATTGCAGGTTATATACCTCACTGAATGCCTGTAAGATAAAAGCAAGCCAGAGAGTTTAACTGCCTCACCATTTTGCAGATGAAGTAAAGGGTCCAGAAAAGAAAAACACTTTTCCATGGCACCCAGGAACTTTGATGGGGACCAAACAAATACTGTGATAAAGGTCCTTCACCTCTCCCATTGGCCCCTAGCCATCCCCTTACAGAACTTTTGCTATTTCTAAACAAGTATAGAGAAAGCAAAATTCATTTTCTAACATTAATCCCTAGTTGGCTAAGCCTTGGTTACTCCACATGTGTTACTTATCATGAAAGTTCAGTATATGATAAAGAGGTGGATCATTTAATTTTTCTCCAGTACATAATAACAATGACAAAATTAGTGACTTCACCACTTGGGTCTTTTCTAGAAAAGGGCAAAGTTTGGCTGATGGAGCACAGACACCAAAACCTGAGAGCCTGTATTCTTGACAATCTCTACTTCTGACCACTTAGATTCTTGTTACTCCATTCTCCCAGTCATAAAACACTAGGCAGTAACTTTCCTCTCATCATGAGGATTATTAACAGGACAAAGGAAGACTATGGATGTGGAAGAATCTGGCTTTCTTGAAAATTCAGGGACTGTCATTTCAAAGCATTACTTCTTTGTACTTCTTCCATGGAATGTTTTCATTTAAGTGAAAATAGAACATCAGAAATAATTTTTTGTTGAGAAAAAAATAAGAAAAAGAGCAAAAACAAGAACTGCAAGATTATTTTACAAAAATTTCTGTGATTTTTTATAGAGATCATATCTGGGCAAATCAGGAGGATAAGTAAAATCAACTGTCCTAATTTATAAAGCCAATGCAACACAAGTTCACATCAGTCCACATTGTGAACTGCGTCTGTGCATTAAATATATTAATAATTGAACAGTACAGCAGGAAAAGTTTTAAGGGCTTTTTTCAAGTAGAAATTCTCATCTATGCCTAGCACTAAATTCAGTAAATTTTCTTTCCATACATAAGGTGGTTGTCCAAATCTGTGCTGAAGTAGAAATTCATGGCATGTATTTTTAATATTTCAAAAGTAGTGAGTTTGCAAATCTACTTTTCTTAACAAATTGTAACCAAACCTAGAAACATATACTAAATAGGTGCTCAGTCCTCTATGAACTCTCTTCCAATAAAAAGGGGAGAGTGGCGGCACACACCTGTAGTCCCAGCTATTTGGGAGGCTGAGGCAGGAGGATTGGTTGAGCCCAGGAGTTCTCGAGCCAGCCTTGGCAACATAGTGAGATCCATCCCTGAAAAAAAGAAAAGAAATTGTATATATATTTGCTTGTGCAATAAACTAATATTGAATATTATACAATTTGACTCATGTGGCCTTCTCTGTCTAGGTTTTCATGGGTATAAACAATTTAAATTTTAATATATTATAAATATTATTTTATTATTTGACCAATATTTAAAAGTAATGAAATTAGTGAGAAATATTTTATTTTGATGATATAATTGTCAAGCACTTTGTCAATAAGAAGCTCTGTACAAGCTTCAAATAATTTAAAGAAGCAAAATTATTTAATGTGTAAATTCAGACATTAAAATTTGGGGGGTTCATATTATAATTTCCTGACTAAATTAAGTCATGAACAGCAAAAAGAATAATGCGCACACAAAAATTGAGCTTCCTTATAGAGATTCCAGGAAAAAAATAAATGAAATAGATAAAATAACATACAAAGCCACAAAGAGTGATGATTTTGCAAGGGAGAACACTATCTCATCTTATTCATTAAAAAATGTGAAGAACACTTACTCATCTCTGAAAAAATAGTTTATTTTCTTCTATCTGGAATTTCCTCTCGTATCACTGCTATAAGCAGGTTTTTCACCAAAGGGCTGGTTTCTTAAGTGACTCAACCTAATCATTTTAAGCCCAATTCAACTATATAGAATATAATGATTGTCAATAGGAAGAGTTAAATATTGGTCTTAATAAAACTTTAAATGATATAATTAGCCTGACAACTTATTACATTTAAGCATATCAACCTGCCGATATTTATTTACAAGAATTAAAATTACAAAAATTATAAAGATGCTTCTACATTACCACCATTACTTTGGAATACTTGATATTGGTTCCAAAATAGTGACAGGTTTAAATATCGTCAGCTACATTAAGGTCTGTTCAAAAAGTACATGAGTTTTGAACAGTGTATAGGCAAAAAACAAATTACTAATATATAACACATCTTGCATCAAAACATAGCTTCTAGCCGCAGCAGTTAGGGCAGCACAGGCCAGGAATCTTCTAAGAAAGAACATTATGCAACAAAGCGCCACCACTCGGACTGGGTGATAGAGAGCTAGCTGCAACTGTTAGTGTTTTCTCTTTCTTCTTCCTTTTTTTTTTAATATACAGAAGGATTGTACATATATTTGGGGAACATGTGATGGTCTAACACATGCACACAATGTGTAATGATGAACCAGGGTATTTAGGATATCTTTCTTGTTGTTTGTGAGTGATGGTGCTGAGGAGGACTGGAATCAAGCTCAGGAGAAACTCCATGTACTAGAGGAAAAAAGAAATTCCATCTACTTAGTAATGAAAAGAATAGTCTCTGAAGCCAAGAAGCTTGGTTAGAATGTCAGGGCTACCCCTTACCAGCTGGTGACCTTGGGCAGTTTTTGGAATGTCTTAGCCTTGGTAATCCCTTCTATGAAAAAAAAAAAAAAAAGGAGGAGAAAGAGAACATATAGAGGTAAATGAAAAAAATAGTCTCCCATCTATAAAGGGATAATAGCCTTGTGTGAAGATTAAATAAATTAGTACCTATAAAATGCTTAGAAGAATGCCTGGTAGATAGTAATTTCTCAGTAAATGTTAGCTAATATAGCAAAGGCAAAACATAAAGCAAGAGAAGTAGCATGGCAACAGCAATAATCTTCCATTTCCAGAGAACATGAAATGTTTTAGTGTAAGGAAAGGCTGATCTATTTTTGAAGGAGGCAGCACAGTTTAGTGGAAAGCATCAGGAAAAATCTTGAGTTTTCATCTATCCTGTTTCTACCAGTACCTTGCTGCGTGGCCTTGTCCCACTTAACATCTGTGCACCTCATTGTTCTTATCAAGAAACTAAGAAATTTCAATTTGATGATTTCTAGGGCTTCTTTCAACTCTAAACATCTTCTAGTCATAATACCTAGAGGATAATCTGGCAGCCATTGCATGGTTTATGCTCATAGGAGGAGTATTTCAGGTGTCTCTTTCTACTTCTCAAAGGGCCAGATGAGCAACCAGAAGTACATGAAGACTGGTATATTGCAGTGAAATAGAATTAAGCCCTCAAATGGAATGTCATTTAATTCCTACACTGTAAAAACTGCATGTATGTGTTCTTACGCATCTATACCTTCAAATTACATGTACCAAAGAGTGGTGTACCTTATATTGGTTCTCTGATAGAATAAATTCCCACCACATAGTGAATTTTTAAACTGAGATGCTTATTCTATTTCATTATAATGTGTAAACTGTTACTTTATACTCAACTACCCTGAGGTAAATTGAAGATGGGTATACAAAATGAAACTATTCCTCTAATAAAATCACTGACATGTTAAGAGGGTTCCCATTTTAGTTATTTATGCTGTTTTCTTTCATTTTTAAAGATGACACTACCCTTTATTACACATTCTGAATGTGTGTGTTATACTTGTACGACACATTTTCTTTCCATGACCCATTAAAGTAGCATAATGCTTTCTATATTCATGCATCTCTTAGCACACAACCTATGGTTTTAAATATTTTTGCATTCTTTCTCAGAAGGGAAAAAAATGGGTTTCATAGTGAAAGAAAAAACTTGGCCAATTATGTCATTTTTATCTCATTTTCAGTTTCGACCTAGCATTATCTTAGGCTTAGTAGTAACAAATGATAAAATGACAAATAAATTCTGACATTCTCTGCATAATCTACATTCTTGGCCATCGAATCTTCATTTTACCAGCCTCTTAAGAAATGTTTAAGAAAAAGAAAAAAGAAAACCTCAAACATGACTGCCAATCTAACCCATTCCATTCTGTGTGTCATGCTGCCGAAGCAGCACTTGGAATCTAGAAGTACCAAGTGCCACAATTCGTCTCCTTGTGACTCATGGCACCAGATGACAAGCAATCCTCTGTCCTTCAGCAGCACCAGAAACAGTGGAGGATCCGTGTGGGTGTTCACAGCGTTGTGAATAGATCTAGTGGGAGGCAAGAGTCCAAGGCTCAGGCTTCCTGCACGTACCACCATCCTGACAGATGGCATATTCTTGGCCAGAATCCAAGGACCTTGGTCACCGAGTGAACTTTCCCTGACTCTGTGCTATGTCGATATCCCAGACACACAGGGACACAGGCCTTGCTTATGAATCATTCTGCTAGAAGCTGCCTCTATGTGTGTTTTCTGAATGAATGTTCATAAAGGTATTTTGCCTAAACCAAGTAAGACTGTTCAGCACTTTGTCACACAATTACCGTGGGTTGTATCAACACAGAAAGTGTGTTTTATAATTTAGTCATAATGAATTTTTTGACCCATAAATCAATAAACCTGTTACAGACTGAATAATAATATTTGCTTCCTGAAAGCATGTATGATATCAACAAGGTCGCAGTTTACTGTCATTTTTAATAGGGAGAAAAAATCTGTACTCAAGGGGCATTTAACATATTTTGACAAGGTGACCCACAATTATCCATTAACACTGTATTTGTCTAAGCCCTACTGCATTGATATGCAGGGACCATGTAATAGTTCATTGATGTCCCACTTGGGGGTGGAGCATAAGGCAAGTGGGACCTTTCCAAGGTCTTTCACAGCCAGAATGCATCTTGCTATTGCTGTATTGATTAAACATTTGGATAGTTAATCAAAACAGCTCAGCCCTGTTAACCTGCCACGTGCAGTATACAAAAGAAAGAAAGAAAGGCCTCTAAGAGAAGCCATGAGGCTGTATTTTTCTTATTTTCAAATTTGATAAAATATATCTTTTCAGACAATAGGATTATAGTAAAATATTATAAAGCATTCAACTTCATCTTGAATTGAAAGACTTGTGGACTTTTCTGTTCATTTCTCAACATTTTTAAAGATTTACTTTGACAAAAATTGTGTATATTTATGGGGTACAATGTGAGGTTTTGATGTGAGGTTTTGATGTAGATATTACAGAAAGATTAAATCAAGCTAAATAACATATATATCACATCACCAACTTATTTTTTGTGATGAGAATGTTAAAAATCTATTCTTTCAGTGATTTTGAAATATACGATACATTATTATTAACCATAGTCAGAAACTAGTGAAATAGATGGCTAGAATTTGTTCCTCCAATCTAACTGAAACTTTGTACACTTTGATCAATATTTTACCTTTCTCTCTGTCTCTCTTTTCCCCACACCCCAGCCCCAGCCTATGGTAATGAACTTTCTACTGTCTTTGTCTATGAGATCAACATTTTTAGATTCCACATACAAGTGAGATCAAACAGTATTTGTCTTTCTGTGCCTGCCTTATTTCACTTAGCATAATGTCCTCCAATTTTATCCATATTATTGCAAATGACAGAATGTCCTTTTGTAAGGCTGAATAGTATTTCATTGTGAATATATACCACATTTTCTTCATCCAGTCATCTATTAATGGGTGTTGCTTCCATATTTTGGAGATTGTGAATAATGCTGCATAAGCAAAGGAGTATAGATAACTCTTTGACATACTGATTTTAATTCCTTTGGATATATAACCAGAAGTGTCATTGCTGTATCATAGATTAATTCAATTTTCATTTTTTTCAGGAGCCTCCATACTGTTTTCCAAAGTGGCTATACTAATTAACATTCCCACCAACAGAGTACAACCGTACTCTTTTCTCCACGTTTGCCAACACTTGTTATCGTTTGTCTTTTTCAGAGCAGCCATTCTAACAAGTATGAGGTGATATTTCATGGTGATTTTAATTTGCTTTTTCCTTATGATTAGAGATGCTGACCATTTTTTAAATATTTGTGTTGGCCATTCATAACTCTTCTCTTGAGAAGGTCTGTTCAGACCATTTGGCCATTTTTTTTTAACTGGGTTTCTTGCTTTCTTGCTATTAAGTTGTTTGAGTTCCCTATATATTTTTGATATTAGCTCCTTATCAGATGTATGGTTTGCAAATACTTTCTCCCAATCCATGGGAGAGTATCTCTTCACCCTGTTGTTTCCTTTGTTGTCTAGAAGTTTTTTAGTTTGATGAAATCCCATTTCTATTTTCCCTTTTGTTGCCTGTGCTTTTGGAGTTCTGTCTAAAAACACCATTGCTCAGATCAATGTCAGGGAGCTTTCCCCTATGTTTCTGTTTTCTTTTTCCTTTTTTTTTTTTTTTTTTTTTTGAGATAGAGTCTCTCTCTGTCACCCAGGCTGGAGAGCAGTGGTGCAATCTTGGCTCACTGCAACCTCCACCTCCTGGGTTCAAGTGATTCCCCTGCCTCAGCCTCCTGAATAGAGCTGGAATTACAGGCATGTGCTAGCATACCTAGCCGAATTTTGTATTTTTAGTAAAGATGGTGTTTTGACATGTTGACCAGTCTGGTCTTGAACTCTTGGTCTCAAGTGATGTGCCTGCCTTGGCCTCTCAAAGTGCTGGGATTACAGACGTTGAGCCAACATGCCCAGCCTTCCCTATATTTTATTCTAGTAATTTTATAGTTTCAGGTCTTAATGTTTAAGTCTTTCATCCATTTTGAGTTTATTTTGGTATATCATATGAGATATGGGTCCAATTTTATTCTTCTGCAAGTAGATATCCTGCTTTCTCAGCATCATTTATTGACAAGTCTATCCTTTTCCCATTGTGTATTCATGGAAACTTTGTCAAAAATCAATTGATTGTAAGTACTTGAGTTTATTTCTGGGATTTCTAACCTGTTCCTTTGGTTGATGTGTCTGTTTTTATTCCATTAACGTGCCTGTCTCTGCTTGCTGATAACATAATCTTATATATAGGAAACCCTAAAAATTCCACCAAAAAATGTTCAACTGAAAAACAAATTCGGTAAAGTTACAGGTTAAAAAATCAACATATAAAAATCAGTAACATTACTATATACTAACAATGAACTATCCAAACAATAAAAATAAGAAAACAATCCTATTTACAATAACATCAAAAATAAAATACTTAGGATTAAAGTTAACCAAGGAAGTGAGAGATCTATCTATATACTAAAAACCATAAAACACTGTAAAGGAAATTGAAGAAGATACAAATAAATGAAAAGATATTTCATGTTCACGAATTGGAAGAATTAACATTGTTAAAATGTCCATACTACCCAAAGCAATCTACAAGTTGGATACAATTCCTATCAAAATTTCAATGTCATTTTTCACAGAAATAGAAAAAAATTCCTAAAATTTGTATGAAACCAGAGATGACCCTGACTATTCAAAGAAATCTTGAGCAAAAAGAACAAAATTATAGGCATCGTGCTCCCTATTTCAAAACATATTATAAAACTTTTGTAATAAAAACATTTCTTGACATTTTAAGTGGGTTAAAATCTCACATCTTTGCCAGAATTGAGTCATGTTCTTTACACCCATCTAAGTTCAGTGCACCCTCAGTTTCCTCTTTAGTTAGAATACTCTTGATATTCAAAATTGGAGGCCCCCATTTGGGACTCACTGGTTCATTTCTACCCCCTAGATTTTCCCTTCTTGTCACATGAGCCAATATTCTCAGACCCTCTTTCCTCATGTCTAATCTCAAACAATCTCAATGTTTCGTTTCCTTTGTTAAGAATATAAAGTTATCAGAATTTATTTTTATACATATAAAACCTTCAATTTTGCTTCCCTTTCTTTCTTCTGTTAAATCTTTTGTCCTCAACTGATTTTTCTTATAACTGAATCGTTCTAATTTTCATTTAGGAGACCACCAATCCCTGCCATTCTCCCCTTCAGCTTCTTATCAACCAATAAGTAGCACAGTTATACACCATTCACCTCACATTCTGCCATACATATCTGTTTAGGACTTCCAATTATATCCTCAATCCATCGTACATAATAATCATGTACAGTTGTGGTTATTTACACTCTAAGTATTTCACCTGTTCACTTTGTTTAACAATTTCTAACACAAATCAATTTTTCATAAAGTTGTTTGATCATAAGAATCATCAACTCCAATTAGACCTACTTATCATTATATCCAAGAGTAGGACCTAAAAATGTGTAGTTTAACAAGCACCTAGGGAAGTTCTTAGGGTCAGGAAAATCTGTAGTCCAGTGACTTAATCCATTCTTCATCCATTTGTTCTGTAAAGCCAAATATACACCAAGTGATAATTAAAAATGCATCTATAACAAGATTTTATTTCATTAAGTACAATTATTGAGCACTTTCTATGTGCAGTAATTTACATATGTTATCTCATTTACCTTGCTGCTAAGTTCATCCTGATTTTGCTTTTTATTGGGATGTACATGATTGTGTGTGTGTGCAAGTGTGTGTGTGCACAATTATATTACATAGATTGTAATGTCTATTTTGAGAAAAGATTTTCTCTCCCTTTTTGGCTTTGACAAAGCAAGTTGCCATGTTGGGAGTTGCCATATGGAGAGAGGTCACAGAGTGGCCCTCCGCCAACAAGCAACAAGAAACTGAGACCCTCAGTTTGGCAGCCTGCAAAGCATTGAATGCTGCCAACATTCATGTGAGCTTGAAAGCAGATCCTTCCCTGGGCGAGTCTCAGATGAAACTGCAGCCCCAGCCAACACCTTGATTGCAGCTTTGTGAAACCCTGAAGCACAGAACTCAGCTAAACTGTTCCCAGACTGCTAAAATCCATGGCAACTGTGAGATAATAAACATGTTAATTTTAGAATTTGTAGTAGTATTATTACACAGTAACAGATAACTAATACATAATACTTTTATTTCATAGCCATTGTTATTTCGAGTCCCATAACCTTTTAAATTTGGGGGTTCCTATTTAATTACATTACTAGAAACTGCTACCACCTCAATTTACCATCATCTGTGCATTTACATTATGATCTAATATGCACCCTAGGAAGTAGGTATTTTATCTACTCATGTTATAAAAAAAATCCCTATCTATTTTCCACCTACACTCACTCCTAAAAGAATAAGCTCATCATTCATAAGCTAGAACAGTAAAAATGAGTTTGCTTTCAGAGGTGTAAGTTAAATGCAATAAAACAGACTCTCTGCTTATTAAATTAAGGATAATAGGCTAATTTTTGTATACAAAAATGGCATTGCAGGTCTAGACATTTGGGCCATGTTACATTTAGGGTGCTTTTTCTATAATTCTTTCAAATTCATTATCAGCCTCTATGTGCACCCTAAACTCATTATGACCAATGGGTGTACTTTTGTAAAAGCACTGGTTGCAGATGAACCTTCCAGTAGAAATCCAGACATAAAGTAAAACTATTGACACAACCAGGAATAAAATTGTCATTACCTATGTGGTACCTAATCGGCCACAGCTGAGGAGGAAGTGTAAGGAGTGGGGAGAAATAAGACATAAAATGTATGCAATGCAGCAAGCTCAAGATCACAATGGACAGGTTCCTCTGTTTGCTAAAAATAGGGAACCCATTGTGTAGTAATTATCTCCCTAAAGGTTTGGAACAAGATGAGAAACTTGCTCAAAAATAGGTCACTATTAACTGGAAAATATGATTCTAGTCTTAAAAAAAAAGGACTAGAAAATTAGTGGCGGGCATTAATTTCTTGTTATTTATGAAAGCACTTTGGGAGCAAGATCCGTTGAGTCTTATTTCCTTTTTATGGAAACAGACACCATTATTCAATTTTGTCCTATCTTTTTATTAATAGGTGTAAAACATCCCCAGGGAGTTTCAAAGCTTCCGTGGAAACCAGAAGCAATATAATAATTCTACACCTAGGTGGCTGTCACTCAGCCTAGGTGTTCTCCAAACCAGAGGAAGCCTAAGCAAGTCTCTGCCGGGCTGGTTCTGCCTTCTCAAGGGGCAAAATGACAATATTATTTGAGCAGTGGTTCCTAGGCACAAGGACTTAACCCATTATCTCACATTCCTTCTATAAGAGTTTCCTTGTTTTGAGTTATGAAAGTCTTCTCTTAGGTACCTCCTTTAAGATGCACAGTACGCAGGACAATAATAAAGTTCCAAACTGAACTTCTTAATAAAAATAGATGCCTGTCTTCCCGGTTGAAAATGTGGGTCAACAGAGGATAGTGGTTTATTGAATGAAGAAAAGAAAAACTAAACCACAAAAAAGGGAGAGGTCACAGAAATATCAGAAAAGATCCTAAAAGAAATTTGCCTGCCTTCACTCTGGACTAACTAAATAGATAACATAAGATATTGTTCATATTTAAATGTCAGACTCTGTTGAGGTCAATCCTTTGAAGAAACCAAATTCTTTTCAGGTGTTGTTCACAGATAGTAACCCCAACACTGATGTTAACATCTATTGTAGCTATTACATATTCTTAGGAATTACTGAAATTTGTGAGTATAAACCCATATAGCATAGAAAGATTAAAATAGTTAATTAAAGTAAAATAACATCCACTCATCTGTATTAATAGTTGAAAGGGTTCCAGGTTTTGTGCTGGAGAAAATGACTGATCTTATCTACTACATAATACATCTTCTCTAATGATGAATTGGGGCAACATAAGCAGGCAGCCAGAAACTTAGAACACTGATCACAAGAAGATAATTTTGAGGAACTCAACAAAGTTTATTGAAGAAGATAAGAACCTGGACCTCTGTCTCAGGAGGTTACTATTTGAAATTTTAGGGACATCAGTCACCCTTCTCCCTTTGAAGCAGAAAGAATAAAAACAAATAAACAAATAGATGACAGTAGCATGGAAGGAGAAGAGATTGAAAAAGGATGAGAGAGGAGAATATAAATAATCTAGGAGAAACCCAAGAGTTAAGGCACTTTCAAACTATAAGATTTTATTGGACAGCTATTGTGCCCAGATTGAATGGAGCACTGTTAATGATATCAAAGTAGTTGCAGACTTGATATCTGAACCAAAGAAATTGTCATCTTAGTGGTGCGATGAACCTGTTATTAACTTTAATTTTTAAAATATTAAAAGAATTGCGATTATGCCATATGGTAGAACCAGACAGAACAGGCCTTGATGAGACACCATTTTGTATTGGATGCTTCATCTTGTTCTTCAACATTGTGATCCAAAATTTTGAAAGAAGTTATCATATGAGTCTACCTGGTCCATAATAATAATGAAATATGAAAATATATTTACCCTGGGACTTGATTTTTAAATAATTTCAAAATGTTGGCTATGAATAACCAAGAAAATATGACAAAATTAACACAAATACTTGGCTTTAGGGTTTATGTAATCATAGTTATATATGTTTAAAAAAACACAAATAGTATAAAGTATTGCTTTGGTATTAATTTAGGAAGCAAAAATCTCAGCCATGTACAATTAAGGGTTGCATCTTCATTGTTGTTTTACCCTGAGATTCTTCTCATTTCATGATCCTCTTCCATTTCACTCATTTTAAATATGACCACATAGATAACCTGAGTGGTTTCACATTTCAAGTTGTTCCATGCTGTCCTGTATTGGAATATTATTACCCACTGGGCTCAACCTCTGGGGCTAGCCAAGCAAGGGTGCAAGCCATGCAGGCCAATTTTACTATTTTAAAAGCCAAGTAAAATAAGAGGAAATGTGTAAGGTGAAAATCAGGGAAAGCAAAACCTACTGTTATACCTGGGTGAGACTGGGGCAGCAAATGCAGAAACAACTCTAAGAGTGTCAAACGTGAAGAGGAAGACAGCTAGAGAGTCAGGACAGGAGCACTGTGAGAAGTGTAAAAATGTTGCTGCCAGTAATTTGTTGTTACAGGTTGCGGCCACATGGCATAAGACATGGTATATATAGCTCAGTGGTTTATAACCTTGGCTATACAATAGAATCACCTGGGGAGCTTCTAAAATCCCAATTCCCAGGCACTACTTCAGACCCTTTATGTCAGAATCTCTGATTTCTAGGACACAGCAGCAATATTCTGAAAAGTAGCTGAGCCAATTCCAATGTGTAGCCAATGTTGAGAATCACTGGTATAAAAGTATATTCAAAATGAATTATTTTTGTTTATTGGTAATTAAAAGGCAGTAATTAAAATCCCAAGTCTTTTTGTGATTGTTGTAAATTCATACTTTGAAGAGTCTTCAACATTTGGTTTTTATGGCTCTTCTACTACTGTTCTTAACCCACTACTGGACTCTTGAAGAGATCTACCCGCTTCCAATGCACTCTTGGAGGCATACCTGTTGTCTGTTATCTAGGCACAGGCTCTCACTATTTCTTTCTTTACATACTTTTCTCCAGTATCAGTAAGAATAATCTGTGCAAACCAATCTTTTGGTAAAAACAGAATATTTAAGTTAAATGTCCCCCCCACCAAAAATCTCACAATGAGCCTCAATCATGGCTGCAATGTTACTTTCTGCATTGACCCAGCAGACATCCTCCCTGACAGCAGCCAACAATTACATTATTAAATCATTTGAACAACTACAGGTGGGGGTTCAATACTAAAGTCACATGTAAATCAGTGAGCTATAAGTGGTATGAACTATATGCATACTTTTTGAACAAAAGGAAACTAGAAGAATGATAAAATAAATAAAAGCAATTGGAAAGGAAGAATCATGAACTATACCTGAAAAAAAAGATAAGTCTGGGTCCTTTGGACACAGCAAGTGTTATTGGCAATGCATTGTAAACAGATTTTTAAATTATAGTTAGTTTTATTAAAGATAGTAGAAAAGCTAATATCATGTTCCTTAAATGACAGTGAGACTTACACCTTCCATTAGGCCAAAAGCACCTCCACCAAAGATCAGTTGAGCAACGCCTCCACTCCCAGCCACTCCCAGGCTCTGATCTGACACTAGGTAGGAAAGTCCTTGGAACCCTTTACCCATGACTAGCTCATGACAGAATGAGCCCTTGGACAGAGCCTTCATTCACTCCAAAGAGGCTGGGAATGGTAGGCGGGGAGGAATTTTCATGCCTAGGTCAGCTCTGGACCAGCCCAGGCCTGTGGTACAAAGAAAAACAATAGCAGCTGAATAGCGTGGAAGAGTCCCATGCAAGCCCTGTTTAACATCAGTAACAATTTTACCCCCACCCCAAGGGCTGATACACATTCATTCCATCTCATTTTTCCCCACCTAAGTGACTTTGGCCTCACTTCCCTGTACCCATCCACCGTAAGTCATTTCACTTTTCCTCTTATTGTTCTTTCATTTTTGCCTTTATTGAGTAGTTCCCAGTCTGTTATATCGTTCTTAATTTAAATCATAGAGCATCAAACTATGCCATAATCCTGTATATTATGCTATTCGCACCCTCCAGTATCATGCATGCTTCTTTCCGGTACAACTTGTATTTACCAGGTTACTCGTATTTAGTGCATTTCATATTTGTCTACCCATGTCCCTCTTTTTATCATTTTGCCAATTGTTCAAACCTCACTCATTAAGCTACACAGTGGATGTAAACCTGATCATGAATGACTCCTCTGCTGACTTCTCAAGGTCATCTTGAATTATAAGTCAATCTTCCAAGGTTGTTGTTACGTCTCCCAACTTAGAGTCCTCTGTGAAACTTTATGAGCATGTTCCATATTTTATCATCCAAGTCACTGATAAAATGTTAAATATTACCATCCTAGACAGACCCCTGCAGAACATCATTTTATGTGTCCTTTTAGTTGCCTCTGAAACATTAATAACTTCTCATTGAATATGATCCTTGAACCAATCTGTACCCAACCAAGAGCCAGAAGTGTACTTCCCTAGATTGATAGTGCTATTTTAAATCTATATGCTACAACCCTGAGAAAGGAATTTTGTACTCTTCTAGCCTCTTCAGAGATAGAAAAGATTTTAATTTTATCAGCTTAAAACTGACCAGTCAACACATGCCAAACAATAACCCCGGATAATTTAGCACTCTTCATAAATGTGATATTTTCAAAAGCTATAAAAAAGAACTCCCTATTAATAACTCTGACTATAAAGGTTCATCACAGGCTACTATTCTTCCCTCTTTGAACTTAACGACAACTCAAGTCAATGCCCTCCTTTTTTCTTTTGTTGCAGCTGCTATTGGGTTGGAAAAGACTGTTGTTGGAAAGGACTGTTGTCCAGGCTCCAAAAAGTCCAGACAAGGTCTCCAGAGACTCTCTATTTTTCCTCCAGATCCTTTTACTGACATTAATGATGAAGCAGCTTTGTCTGTGTCTCTGCCTTGGTTAGCAATGCCTTAGTGACAGGGCAGCTCCAGATGCATTAGATCAGCAGCTGATGCCATCATGCGAATGTCTAACACTTACTTTAGGTAGGTGACACTTCTTAATATTCAATCCTGTCTTCACAATGTCGACTTGTCCCACCATAGATGGGTGTTCTTTTTATCATTATTTTTGAGACTGTTAATGTTTTTGCTTGTAATTCCTCTAAAGAGCGTTTAAGAAAAAATAATTATTTATAACCTTTAATGCTAGGAGGGTAGTGTAGTTTGCCTGGAAGAATATGCATCACAGAGTTCTTGTTTAGAAATGGTAATTAATTTTACAGTCAACAGTAGTGTGACACACTGTCTCTGACTAGACGTCCACCATGGCTTCCTGCCAGTCCTTTGGAAGAATATTAATTGACGTCCAGTGCTAAGCAGTCTCTTTGCTGTGTATTTAAATGAAACAAAGTGCTTTAAATTAAACAAATACATTCTAAACTTGCATATTCAATACAAGTTCTGTATCTTGATAGCGCCAAAATACACATTTGGTTTATATCTTTATTTTTCCTCTTTTTTTTTTTTTGTTCTCGTTCTTATACTCCTGACTCTTATAGAGCCCTATTATTTGCCTTTCTTAATTTTAACTCACTGCTTTTCTTCTAACTTCTTACAATATCTGCTTGGGGTGAATTTCTACAACAAATACTCTATTTCTCCAACAATCCTGAACAATTTACTCCTAGGTTACTGATCTTTCTCTTTGCAAGGTTTTTCAAGTGACAATCTTCAACAATTTTAGTAACAATGTGTATAGAGTGCTTATTAATTTGCTAAGGATGCCAGATTAAGTTACATGGTGAACATATTTAAAAATAATAATAACAAAATTTTAAATGACCTTGACAATTAGAGAATTGGGCACATAAACTAGATTTAGTTTCATGGGAAAATTACATGATCATTCATGCTGAGGGGAGAAAAACAGTCCACGAATTGAGGGTGGGAAGTAACAGTTAGATAAAATGGGGTTGGGGTAGGGAGGAAGAGGCCTGCTTCTATATAGCCAATGGCCAGGATGATGAATTGGGTATGATGAAACCAAGATACTCAGATGTGGAAATTGGAACATCACACAGCATGTAAAAAATACATTCTCTATTTTATTAATCTGTTAGGTTTAAAAAAAAAACTAGAATTTTTTAAAACAAAACTAACAGATTAATAAATTAGAGATTTATTAATCTCTAATATCATATAAGCTACTGCAATCCCCAGCTTATAGGATAAGAATGCTGGAAAAATTCAGGTAGAAAAAGTAGCATTTAAAATGAAGGTTCATTGGTACAGGTATGTATATTCTCTATGTTCACACAAAAATCAGGTGATGGAGTTTTTCATAATATTCATCACCTGTTTTAAAGCAAACACAAGAGTCATCTGTAATCTACATGATTTTGTTTGGAAAAACATTTTGTGAATTAAGTTAGATCATCTAACTACATTATTCACATAATAATATAATTTTAGATCTGGCAGTAAATACCTTTCTTCTTCTTTTTTTTTTCTTTATACAGCAGTAGAAGACTTTCTTCATTTAAAATCTTACAGGAAATCCCTGTGTTCAAAAGGAAAAAAAAAATCAGTAGGGGATCTGGAGCCCAGCCAGCACTGTCCTCTTTCTCCCAAGAGGGGAAAACTGATCCAAACCGAGGTCCGAACTGGATGGACTCCTCGAGAATCAGAACTTCAATACCAGTGACGTAATTGGAACCCAGGTCCCTGGCCCCCCAGTTCTGGGCTCTTTCTACTATTCGACGCTGCCTCCTGCAAAACGTGTCCTATTTTGAGGCACCCTTGTTTATCACAGATTTGTTGTACTCCCCTTTTTTTGCAGTCTTTGAAATTTCTTTTCTCGTGTTCTCTCACTTATTTCCCAAAAGCCATTTGTTATGTAACAGATGAATATGTGTTCCTGTTTATAAATATTCTACAGTAAGTCAAGAAAATGTGGGGAAATAGGGGGAAAAGGCTAATAGGACCTTCAAACCCTCTATCTGGAAATGTCGGGAATCTAGACTGTGTCTAAGGGGCAAAGGTCACAAAAGAAGAACAAAGCCAGGAAGCTGAACCTGGTCTTGTATGTTTGGATCCCATCTCATTCGTTTTTCCCTTCATTTTCAGTCTGTCCAAAATTAGGATGTTTGGTGTTATGGAGGTTCACCTGGGAAAAATCAGGAGGCCGCCGAGTGTAACTGTGGGATGGCATCACAGTAAGCAAGAAGCTTAAAATCTAATCCATTACCAGGGAATTGAATCCAGGGAACATGGCTTCATTAAAGACTACGACTTTATAAATAACTACACATAAATAGACCGCTTTGCCTTAGAGAATAATATATTTCAAAATTATTATCTACTTAAAATATTTTACCTAAAAGAATTCACAATTAGCTTTCAATATTTAAACAGTACATTAGAAATGGAATGATTATAAATATCAGAAACAAAAGCCACTTCATTACAGTATGAACATATGCTAACATACCACATACTGCTTTTGAATTTAATAATAATATAGTTTATCTTTTTTTAACTGACATAAGGGTTTTGATAATAGCTAATATAAATATATGAAATGTCAAATTTAGAAGATAGTGCTTAAACATTTGTCTCTTAGAGAGTATTGTTAAACTTAACTTTTATTAACTCTGAGAATCAAAGAGAAATATGGTGATGCTAGTGAACGTTTGAAAATCTTTTATTTTATCACTTTTAATGCATGTTTAATATTTAACATTCATCTTATTACAGTCAGGAATTGTGAAATGCTTGTGCTGTTTCTAAACAGTTTTAAAGTTCAATGCACAGTCACAATTCAGAGGGGAGATTTCACACATTTATGGAAAATAAGCCATTTTTGCAGTAAAGTTGCAAAGTGTGAAAGAATTCTTGTTTTATCTGCCTTACTTATCATGTTTATGAATTATTTTGCCTGGAAGTAAATTGACAAGTTGTCAATGAACAATAGAAAGTGCCCCAGCTAGGCTTTTCACAGGTTCAGATGCCTTTGGGCAAAAGGGCTAAATCTGTAGTTGCAATCTAGCATATGGAGCACTGAAAAAAGTGGCAACAGGGTGAGAGACATTCCCTGCAAAATGCATGCGGTTGTTGCTCTCTAACCAATCTGCTTGGACCACTGTACATTATGAATTCAGGTACCATCGTCTTGCCATACAGGAATAGGATTCCTTGCCTCCATATAATAATTTGTTTCTGTTTTATCCTAGTTTACTTTGGTCTACTTTGTCATTTTGAACTATTTTAATTCTCCAAATGATTATTATTAAATATTCATCTTTAGTAATAAAAAGCCATTTCCCTATTCTAGGTGACTGTCTATTGGAAACTTCCCACAGAATCCCATAGGAAGGAAAACAATCTCAGAGACCCTTTTTTCAGTGGGTAAGGGTAGACCTTGACTTCCGCCTTTAACCACCACATTTTAGGATTACCTGGCTATAACATTTCATGTCCTTTTCTCCCATCTCATGTTTTTCACAATGCTATTTTGAGACTATTTTATGATAACTCATACAGCTGAATAAATTACTAAACAGCTAAGTGGGCTTTCAGTAGATGGCACTCTTTGTTCTGAATCAGCCCAATATTGTTTTGCCACTTCACTGAAAGGCCAGCTGTTCTTTGAAGCTCCTGCCTTCCAGATATGCCACTCTCTAAGACACAGGGATGTGGTTTAGGGTAAAAGTTATGGCTGGGATTTCTAACCCAAGAAACAAGAAGGACACAAAAGACAGCCTCATGAATAAGAGTTCATTAGGAAAAAAAAAAAAGCTGAAGTTTGAATATGAGAAAAGCCAAGTCCGGTGTCAGTTATGGATGTGGTTAGACTCATAGAGCCAAGAGTTTTAATGTAGACTTGAAATAAGCTCAGAGAAAGTGCATGTTAGAAAGAAGTGACGTGGAAGGTGACTGGGATTTTATAGGAAAATCTAAAAGTGATGATTACTGACCTTGATGGGCCAGCCAGCTCATGGTGTATGGGAGGGTCAGGCCAGACAAAGCAGGAGTATATTTCTGCTCTCTAGTGGTTTCTTGTTTATCACACACCCCTTTTCTATCTGTCTCCACAGTCATTGATGATTCTTGCCCCTGGTTTGCACTCTTTTCCTAATCTCCAGGCATCATCTTGTGTCACTTCCACACTAAGTAGATGATCTCTTTAGTACTTGTAAGTCTCCTCCATTGGGAGCTTCTCTAGCCTTTCATCTTCATTTCATTGTAACAATGTCGTGGCCACATCCTGGACCTTGTCTCCACTTACAAAATAATTCACTCAGAGAGTGGGATCTCCTGCTCTATTCACAGTGTTATAATGTATGGATAGTGTTATAATGGGTTCCTGCTACTGTGTTGCCTCAAAACCTACTCTTCACGTTTAATATATTCCCCAACACGTCAACCCCCGCCTACTTAGGTTCCAACTCCAACTACCTGCATTAATCTCACTGTTAACGTAATAATTTTAATGACAATATTACCAAAACCTCCAATTCACTCACTCCCATAAGGCAATGTACAGTGGAAAAGAACATTCCTGGAATCAGAGAGTACTACAGGCTTTTGCCACTTTTGAAAACCTGCTATTTCAAACTTTGTTCATCTGTAAATTAGACTCAATGTCTAACAAATACCTTTTTTATTGAGAAATTGCTGCTGCTTTAATGAAATAACACAGATAATATCTCTTCAGACCAGTTTCTTCTCCATCGTCTTCCCTTACTCTTCTGCTGTAACCATCCTGAAAATTCCACATCAGGAATGAGCCCTTCTATTCATTTTTATCTACTCCTGTTCCTAGGCTTCTGAAGGCACCCAGGAAAATCTCTTAACTGTGCTAATAATTTTTGCAAATTTAGGAATTTCTACTAATTCTTTTTTTTGTGTTCATGAAGTAATTTACTTATTTATTTATTATACTTTAAGTTCTAGGGTACATGTGCACAGCCTGCAGGTTTGTTACATATGTATACATGTGCCATGTTGGTGTGCTGCACCCATTAACTCGTCATTTACATTAGGTGTATCTCCTAATGCTATCCCTCCCCTCTCCCCCACCCCACGAAAGGCACCAGTATGTGATGTTACCCTTCCTGTGTCCAAGTGTGCTCATTGTTCAATTCCCACCTATGAGTGAGAACATGCAGTGTTTGGTTTTTTGTCCTTGCAATAGTTTGCTGAGAATGATGGTTTCCAGTTTCATCCATGTCCCTACAAAGGACATTAACTCATCCTTTTTTATGGCTGCATAGTATTCCATGGTGTGTATATGCCACATTTTCTTAATCCAGTCTATCATTGACGGACATTTGGGTTGGTTCCAAGTCTTTGCTATTGTGAATAATGCCGCAATAAACATACGTGTGCATGTGTCTTTATAGCAGCATGATTTATAATCCTTTGGGTATATACCCAGTAATGGGATGGCTGAGTCAAATGGTATTTCTAGTTCTAGATCCCTGAGGAATTGCCACACTGACTTCCACAATGGTTGAACTAGTTTACAGTCCCACCAACAGTGTAAAACTGTTCCTATTTCTCCACGTCCTCTCCATACCTGTTGTTTCCTGACTTTTTAATGAACACCATTCTAACTGGTGTGAGATGGTATTTCATTGTGGTTTTGATTTGCATTTCTCTGATGGCCAGTGATGATGAGCATTTTTTCATGTGTCTGTTGGCTGCATAAATATCTTCTTTTGAGAAGTGTCTGTTCATATCCTTTGCCCACTTTTTGATGGTGTTGTTTTTTTCTTGTAAATTTGTTTGAGTTCTTTGTAGATACTGGATATTAGCCCTTTGACAGATGAGTAGATTGCAAAAATTTTCTCCCATTCTGTAGGTTGCCTGTTCACTCTGATGGTAGTTTCTTTTGCTGTGAAGAAGCTCTTTAGTTTAATTAGATCCCACTCGTCAATTTTGGCTTTTGTTGCCATTGCTTTTGGTGTTTTAGACATGAAGTCCTTGCCCATGCCTATGTCCTGAATGGTATTGCCTAGGTTTTCTTCTAGGATTTTTACGGTTTTAGGTCTAACATTTAAGTCTTTAATCCATCTTGAATTAATTTTTGTATAAGGTGTAAGGAAGGGATCCAGTTTCAGCTTTCTACATATGGCTAGCCAGTTTTCCCAGCACCATTTATTAAATAGGGAATCCTTTCCCTATTTCTTGTTTTTGTCAGGTGTGTCAAAGATCAGATGGTTGTAGATTTGCAGCATTATTTCTGAGGGCTCTGTTCTGTTCCATTGGTCTATATCTCTGTTTTGGTACCAGTACCATGCTGTTTTGGTTACTGTAGCCTTGTAGTATAGTTTGAAGTCAGGTAGCGTGATGCCTCCAGCTTTGTTCTTTTGGCTTAGGATTGACTTGGCAATGTGGGCTCTCTTTTGGTTCCATATGAACTTTAAAGTAGTTTTTTCCAATTCTGTGAAGAAAGTCATTGGTAGCTTGATGGGGATAGCATTGAATCTATAAATAACCTTGGGAAGTATGGCCATTTTCATGATATTAATTCTTCCTATCCATGAGCATGGAATGTTCTTCCATTTGTTTGTGTCCTCTTTTATTTCGTTGAGCAGTGATTTGTAGTTCTCCTTGAAGAGGTCCTTCACATCCCTTGTAAGTTGGATTCCTAGGTATTTTATTCTCTTTGAAGCAATTGTGAATGGGAGTTCATTCATGATTTGGCTCTCTGTTTGTCTGTTATTGGTGTATAAGAATGCTTGTGATTTTTGCACATTGATTTTGCATCCTGAGACTGCTGAGGTTGCTTATCAGCTTAAGGAGATTTTGGGCTGAGACGATGGGGTTTTCTAAATATACAATCATGTCATCTGCAAATAAGGACAATTTGACTTCCTCTTTCCCTAATTGAATACCCTTTATTTCCTTCTCCTGCCTGATTGCCCTGGCCAGAACTTCCAACACTATCTTGAATAGGAGTGGTGAGAGAGGGCATCCCTGTCTTGTGCCAGTTTTCAAAGGGAATGCTTCCAGTTTTTGCCCATTCAGTATGATATTGGCTGTGGGTTTGTCATAGATAGCTCTTATTATTTTGAGATACGTCCCATCAATACCTAATTTATTGAGAGTTTTTAGCCTGAAGCATTGTTGAATTTTGTCAAAGGCCTTTTCTGCATCTATTGAGATAATCATGTGGTTTTTGTCTTTGGTTCTGTTTATATGCTGGATTATGTTTATTGATTTGCATATGTTGAACCAGCCTTGCATCCCAGGGATGAAGCCCACTTGATCATGGTGGATAAGCTTTTACTAATTCTTGAACACTACCTAACAATTATTTTATCTTTACTTGACTCCTTTTCCTACTCTTCATACCAGCTGATCCAAACCCGTCTCATTCTCTACAAGCCTCCTCCTGCCCCACTGTCCCTAGGAAGATGGCTATGTCTCTTCCTTTTCAGAAGGAAGAAAATAGAGTCCATCAAGCATCAAGTACCTCAACGTTGTCCCCACCCTCTCTTGATAGGTATCTATCATTATCCACCCTTACTGTTCACTTTTTTTTTAGATGTGGTGCTCTATTCCTTTCCAAGGCCAACTTCTTCAACTATGTCCTTTACCCCTTTATCTATCTATTTAGAGTTGCTATGTGGAGCTCATCAATATTTTAAGATGCCCTCATGCCTATGTGGGACCAATTTTAATGTGCAAAGTAGGAAAAGCCTTATCTCTTCTCGTCTGTAACTTAAACTTTACTTGGCCTTTGCTTTCAACCTCTACCCTTTGCCAGTTTTTGCAATAGTTTATAGGAATTAAGTGATTTATATTTTATTTATTCCCTTATCTTCCCTCTAGAGGTTGGTGCTAATAAATTGGGAAATGGCCAGGAGGGAGGAAGATGCCAAGCATGGGAGAGAGGAGTTTGTCAGGAAAAACCTGTAAAATGAAATATGTAAGCCAGATAAGCAAAAGCTGACTGTTAATCTCTTTGAAAACAGATATACTCTGGGATGATGTCAAAATTAATTAAGACACAGAAAGCAATCAGAATTATAAAATATGCTCCCAGTTGTTTGAATCCTATTTTCCCATTAAAAGAGTGTTATCCAAGGTGGAAAAGTTACCAAAGACCTAAAAGCTCCTGTAATCTTTATGTCTAAAATATGAAAGTGAATACCATAATTTTATCTGGATCCTGAAACATGAATTCTAAGTTCCATCTGAGACCCCAGAAACCCACATTCAAGGAATACTTCTGTAGGGAATTGAGCAGGATGTTTTTTATGTACATGTTTTAGGAGCATTCTCTCAAACAGGGTTTTTCTCCTGCTCTCACACCACAACATGACAACAATCATCAGCAAAGACTTCTATGACTAAATTATAGCAGTTTTTCCCCACACACCAAGCATTGGACACCAGCTGGATGTCCTCCAATGTGATTCCAACATATCTACCTGTACATAGATAGTGTCAGATTCAACGGATTGGGGGATCAGTCCCCAAGACTGCCCCTCTTCTGCCCCCCAAGACACCAGTCATAAGCCTGAGCCTTCAGAACTTCTGACCGACTGTCTTTAAGTTGGGGTTTTCATGACCCCCTCTTTGGGTTTGACTAATTTACTAGAGCAGCTGACAGAACTCAGGAAAACACTCACTTACATTTACCAACTTATTATAAAGGATATTAAAAAGGATACAGATGAAGAGGCATGGGAGAAGGGGCAGGGAGCTTCCATTCCCTCCCTGGGCGTGCTACCCTTCAGGAACCTCCTTGTGTTTAGCTATCCAGAAGCTCTCTCAACCCTGTCCTCTTTGGGTTCTATGGAGGCTTTATTACATATATATGATTGATTAAATCATTGGCCATTGGTGATCAACTTGACCTTCAGCTCCTCTCCTCTCCCAGGAGGTAGTGGGGTGGGGCTAAAAGTCCCAACCCTCTAATTATGTCTCTGTCTATCTGGTGACCAGCCCCATCCTAAAGCTGTTGGTCAACTTTGGCATACAAAAAGACAGCCCTTTGGACAGCCTAAGAATTCTAGGAGTTGTACACCAGAAAACAAGGAAGAAGACCCACTAAATGTATTTCACAGCATACAGTGCTGGAGCTACAACAAAAGTAGTTTTCCAGAAATGTAAAAGGGGAGAAGGTAATTGCTCATCTATCTATGGTTATATCTGTGTTATATTGGAATATTTTCTGGCTACTTTTACATTTGTCTTCTTTTTTCCTTCATTATCTTTTGTCCCTTTCTCCCTTTGTCCAAATACTCCATTCCTGTTTTATTTGACTTTGTTTAGCTCCATCTCCTCTTGCCTTCTTATTTCTTCCCCACTTTCCTATTTGCTCCTATGGACTCCAAGAAGGAGAGAGTTAAGTGGCATCATATGCCTAACTCTCTCATTTTACAAATGAAGAAATTGAGACCCAAAAGGTTAAGTGGCTTGTCCAATGTCTCATAGTAGTTAGAAGCAGAACCCCAAGGCTACATTGCAAGTCTCTTGAAACTAATTCTGAATTATTTCCATTATGCCCATAACCTCTGCCATCTCCATCCTTCACAGTGCAGATTGGCTTTCAGACATTTCAGGCATAAGGAGAATAAAAGCAGTGAAGGGCTAGAGTAGTGGCAGGGTATGTGTCTCAGACATGTTTGGGGAGTACAATGAGCTCCTGCATCGGCCCACTCTTTCCTGTCATGAAAGGATGCCATACGTCACACCAAGCCCTTTTGCTGTGCCCTTCTTACATATGACTTCCTTTCCATTGGCATTTCCACCCCTTCCCTCACTGCTACACACACACCTTCAGAGACCCCTGTTCAACCATGGACTGCTCTGCCCCTCTCCGTGTACAGAGCCCTCTCTCTGTTCTTATTCTCCGTAGCATTTATCACCTTGCAAAAGACCAAATAACTTATATGTATTATGTGTATTGTTTGTAGTTTGTCTCTCTCTGCAAGAACATAAGCTCCATGAGGGCAGGGATATTTTTCTCTTTAATTCATCAATATATTCCAAGCACCTAGAACAGTGTCTGGTGCATTACAGATGCTCAATATTTATTAAATGAATTGAATGAATGAGTCAGAACAACTGGCACATATAAGACTTCTTCTTCAAAGTTTCTAGAGACTCAAGGGTGTGATTGCAACCAAAACAAATTTAATATACAAAATAATTAAATTGTTCAACTCATTAGCTCTGCTTCTGTGCTCTGTGGTGTGTGTGTGTGTGTGTATGTGTGTTTGTGTGTGTGTGAGTCCATTTTCACACTGCTATAAAGAACTGCCTGAGACTGGGTAATTTATACAGGAAAGAGGTCTAATTGACTCACAGTTCAGCATGGCTGGGGAGCCCTCAGGAAACCTACAATCATGGCAGAAGGTGAAGGAGAAGCAGGCACCTTCTTCACAAGGCAGCAGGAGAGAGAGAGAGAGTGAAGGGGCAAGTACCACTTTTAAACCATCAGGTTTCATGAGAACTCCCTCACTATCACAAGAACAGCATGGGGGAAACTGCCCCAATGATCCAACCAAACCGTGTGTGTGTGTGTGTGTGTGTGTGAGTGTGTGTGTGTGTGTGTATGAGACAGAGAAAGAGAGAAAGAGAGGGGGGGAAGGAGGGAAGAGCTAAGGAGAGAGAGAAAGGTGAAAAAGATAGAGATGGGGTGCAAGAGATGTGAGAGAGAGAGACAGAGACAGTGAGAGGAAGCGTCAATAAAACTTATTTTGAAAGCGGGGCAATGTATAAATGATGCATTTTTAAATTTTAAACATGAAAGATGAGTTTTTAGGTGCAACAATTTGTAGTGCTCCCTGTTGGGGTTTCTGGTACCAATTAATCAAACCCCTCTCTTCTGAAATAATTGAGATTTAGTGGGTGGAAATAAAAAGACCATATCTGTTGTATTTTACTGCCAAAAATATGTTGGAAAACAGTCTAGAATGAAAGTATAGATGAACTTCCTATGTGTTGCACCCTGTGTTGAGATTTCCCATCTAGTCACAGGAGGAGCAGGTGGACAGTGCTGGCCTCCTGCTCTACAGGCAGCGATTGCCCTCAGCAGGGTCACTGGCAGGAAGGAAAGAGGGGAGAGGGGACCGAGAGCTAGGAGCCTGAGGGACACATGCTCACTGATCTTTCCCTCCAGCTCTGTGGGAGGAGGTGACAGGAAGCTTTCTGCCAAATATTTCCAACAGAGCAAAAGTTCCTATTTAATGGGTCATAAATTCCTGAAGTTCTCTATGACATTTCACCGGGTCATAACTTCTTAAAAAGATAAAGAAGAGTCTACAGTCATAAGGTGCAGCAATCACTTCAGCAGTTCACCCCAGGCCATGTCTCCACCAACCCCATAACCCTCCTCCTCAAAGAAGGAAACTGGAGCCAAAAAAAAAAAAAAAACCCTCTTCACAGACAGCAAGACAAACCCACTCAGGCCCACTCAAGGGCCAGTCAGTCAGCCGTACATCTGGAGAAAGCCTAGATAACACTCCCTTCCATAAATTATAGAAAATAAATAGAGGTAAAGTATAGCCATAACATGACATCTAACAGAAAAACAACAATCACAAGTAACTGGTGCAGAATTGTCAATGTTGAAGCAAAGCTGAGAGATGAAATCAAAAGTCTTTTTTAAGAAATAGTTTGTAATCACCAAGATCCTCTTTTTTCTTAGAGAACACTTCTTTAAAAATCAATAAAGTTTCCTGACCACAGCTTCTTGGTCACTTTTATGGGAAAGCATGCTGTTGGTTTGAGTCCAAGGATTCTGACACATGCAGTGCTCCTTGAAGTCATTTGAAGAGCAGACTCAAGTCCAGGACTCAGAATGGCTATGTTAGTTCAATATGGTTCCAGTTTTTGTGTAACATTATTCTGGAGTAGGAAGTCACAGGAAAATCAGTATCCCCTGGAATTTTGGAGCTCAAGACAGGTCTAGCATTCACAGTGTGAAGTGTCTGTGGTATAAACAAAAATGGTGACTTATAGTCATTCAAAATAGTAAACTACTATTTAATGTTCTAAAAATCTATTTATACAGGTGTGATAAGCTGAATAATGACCCTCACAGATGTCTATCCCCAATCCCTAGAACCTGTAAATATGTCACCCTAGATGAGAAAAGAAACTTTGCAAATAGGATTAAGCTAAGTATCTTGAGATAGGTCAATTATCCTGAATTATTCTGGTGGACTTGATGTAATCACAAGTGTCCTTATAAGAGGAAGACAGGAGGGCAGAGAGAAGAGAAAGTGAAATAACTACAAAATCAGAGACTGGAATGAGGAAGCCATGAGCCAAGGAATGCTTGGCAGCTGCTAGAAGCTGGAAGAGACAAGAAACAAATTCTTAACTGGAGCCTCCAGAAGGAACTAGCCCTGCCAACACCTTGATTTTAAATGTCTGACATCCAGTTATAAGAGAATAAGTCTGTATTTTTTCCAGCCACTAAGTTTGTGGTACTTTGTTATACAAACTTAATTAATATAATAGAAAAGTAAAATTTCATAGCAAGTTTTGTCACAGAAAGAAATTACCTCAGCAAAAGATCCTTTTGGGGAAGAAAAACACCTGATGTGAATTCAACAGTTTCAAGAAAGCCTTAAGTTCTTGATCTGTGTTGTGAAAAGAAACAGTATGGATTTTTGTAAGAAGAAATGCAGAAATGAAGATACATCTGGAATTTCCTGGCCTAACTTTACTGATTACAACACAGGCATACCAGAATGCCTTCCAATCTCTTTCCCTTTCCAGAAAACCACCTTTGGAGAGCAGAAAATACCCACTTTAAAGCTTCCCCAATTTGCAAGGTGGATATTTAGAGACTCATGCCTGAGTCTAATAAAGAAATCACATTTGATCAGATCTCAGGCTCACACTTTCTTCCCCCTAAACAGAAGAAGGTATATGAATAATTCCCTAGTATACCAGAGGAATGACCATAAATTGTGTCTCCCTGCCATGCAGTTGAATTACTCTAACCATATGAATATCTGTACAACATGTGTGAGCCAAATTCTTTGCACATAAGGAAAGGTATTTACTTTGCGATGAAGCCATATTGAGCATTTACAATGCGCATCACAGGTTTTGCTAACTTGAAAAATGAAGACAACAGCTATCACAAATCTCCTTTTGAGAAAATAATGTGGGTATATTCAACAATTATGGCTACATTTCAATTGAAATTAATTGCAGTTTTGCAGACATGAACAAATGTTGCTAACTTTATAGTGTCCCGGACCTAGAGGTTGAGCATGATGATCATGTAAATAATTACAAATGTCTCATAACAAACTGACTCAGCTTCTTTTTTATGATGGTCTTTTTTTTTTTTTTTTTTTTTTTTTTTTTTTTTTTTTTACCTGGATTCTCACTCTGTCTCCCAGGCTGAAGTGCAATGGAGCGATATTGGCTCACTGCAAGCTCCACCTCCCAGGTTCACGCCATTCTCCTGCCTCAGTCTCCCGAGTAGCTGGGATTACAGGCACCCACCA
This sequence comes from Homo sapiens, assembly GCF_000001405.40. NCBI lineage: Eukaryota > Metazoa > Chordata > Mammalia > Primates > Hominidae > Homo > Homo sapiens. The sequence goes on from NC_000005.10 coordinate 93,102,370, forward strand.
CCACGCCTAGCTAATTTTTTTGTATTTTTAGCAGAGATGGGGTTTCACCATGTTAGCCAGGATGGCCTCGATTTCCTGACCTCGTGATCCGCCTGCCTCGGCCTCCAAAGTGCTGGGATTTTAGGTGTGAGCCTCCGCACCTGGCCTGATGGTCCTTTCTAAGGTAAATTTGTATATGTGCTTGAATAGACATAGTCATTATTGTAGCCCCCCTTTCCAGATTGAACAGAAATTAGAACAACTGAATTTATCAGGTAGTTTTCTTTAACATGCACTTGCTCTTCTTTGCTGACCCTTTTATCAAGAGTACCTTGTCTCTGCCTATATTAGAAGCATCTGTAATTTCCGTGACATGTGTGGTTCCGTCTCACTAGCTATGGCTCTTGTTGAAGCTACTACAAATTTCTAAGTTAGTTCAGCCAGAAGGTGCTGTTGGAGAACTGCATCATGAGTTCCAGTAATAGACTGTTCTCAGTCACCCAAGAAATCCCCACAGGAGTGAGATCAGGTAGCTCTGAAACAGAAGCAGTTGTGTCCACATCTGGTGCATGTACATTTCTAAATAGTGATAATAACTATGTAATCATTTAATTTCATTTTTTTAGTCCGAGACAGTGAGAGACACTACCGGGGCTTATATTTGAGCCCTACAGAATGTCAGAAGTTTAGTGGGGTCTTTAAGAGTTTAGAGGAAAACTTTTTCAGTCAATGCATATCAGAAAATGTGTGGACTGGCACCAGTCTCCACAGTCATATATTCATTCAATGTATTTACCAGTAATGCTCGTCTTATTCTTGTTTGAAATATTACTTTTTATCACTAGCAGATATGGATAACAAATGGCTAAGAGCAAAACAGTCCAAAAGTGAACATGAAGTCAACATTTACTGATGCAAGATTAATTGATGGGTTTAGAAGGGAGACTAGTAAGTGTACTAGTTGTGTAACTTTGGATAATTTACTTTAATTCTCTGAATCTTGTTTTCCTCATCTATAAAATGGAGATAAAATGTCAAATGTATAGGATTATATGGGATTATAAGGATTAAATTAAACAATATATGTAGTGTTGAGCACTGTGCCTTCCACATAGAAAACACTCAAAAATCATAAACGTTACTATTTACAATAATATTAATAATATTTTACCATTTTAATTGTACTGAATTCATCCCTAACAAAATTAAAAATTTTATTTTTATGACTTTATGAAAAGTCCAGTGATAGGGAGACCAGGACCAGCATACCAGCTACAGTGTCCTCAATATCCCAGGTTCCTACTATCTTTTCACTCAGACAGCCTTAGGATATGACTCTTGTCCTTCTGATTGCAAGATGGCTCCTTCTCCCTGCCCCACCTCTCCAGTATCATCACAACATTTCAGACCAAAAAAAAAAAAAAATTAAAGGGTTCGTGACCTTTTAAGCCTACCCCCTTTTTAAAGAGTTTTATAAGATGCCACACCTGATGACTTCTGCATGTATCTCTTAGGCCAGAGCCATGTCACATGGCCGGCTTTAGCTTCAAAGAAGGCTGGAAAATGTAACTTTTTAACTGAGCACATTGCCACCACCAACAAGATTGGAATTCTATTAGTGTACAAAATTGAATGAATTAATATTAGATAGGCAATCAATAGTCACTACTGTGTCCTATAACCAGAGGAATCCAGATGTCACAAAACTATCAGAAAACCAAAGACCCCTCATATAGTTAACACTCTTTTACTTGACCTCTCTCTGACCTCAGAGAGACAATTTTTCATATTTTTGTGGCTTTCTTGTTAATTATTCCACTCCCCTTAAGGGACCCTTTCAATCTGATGGCCCATTAGCATTGAACTGTATGGTTCAAGCCCTGGTTCTCTTTAGAGTCCCTTGAAGAATTTTAGTCATTGATGTCTCGCTGTGCCTCTGGGTTCATATTTGCTGCTCCTTGTAAAATATCTCCATTTGAATTTCCTAAATTAAATGTGTCAAAATCACCTTCTATTACTCTCTTTCTACCAGACTGCTATCACCAGCACCCTCATTACAACAAATAATATGGCCTTTTATTTCTTAACTCTTGTAGTCTTTCTGTGTTTTGTTATATTTTGTTTTTAATCTTTTGCACGTAACCTCTCACCACGTCTATTACCTCAGCCTCGTTCTGGACCCCTTCTTTTCCCTCTCCTTTTCTCCAACACCATACCAACTGCCAAGCTTACCACGTCTTTTTGCTAAAGCTCTTAGAGCTAGGCCCTTCTCACTTTCCCCACTGTCCCCAGACTACACCAGGCAACCATTCTGTTCTGTCAAGAATACTACACTGCCACCTCCTTAGCTTCCTGCTTTTTTTCTTGCTTACCTCTAATCCATTCTCTACACTCAGACAGAACAATCTTCCTAAAATACAAACTTCATCGTGGTGGTGTTCCCCTGCTTAAAAGTTTCCAAAGCCTCCCCAGCTCTCTTAGGATAAAGTTCAAACTCCTTTACATGACATTAAAAAAAACCTACATAACCTCATTTTTCCCCACTCACAACCTCATCCTCTAAATTCCAGTTACATGAAATTTTAAAAATCTCTTCCAAAGCACCAAGTTCTTTACCTTAGAGCCTGTTCATAGTTCTTTCCTTCTTTCTGGGCCATTTCTCACCTTTCTTCTTCCTCTCCCCTTGTCTAACTCACACCCATCCTTTGAGATCCAGCTTATATGTCACTTTCTTCATGAAGCCAGTAGCTGTGACCCTGACCAGATCCTAGTATCATTGTACCTGGGTGAACATTACTTCTTTCCAGCCTGATTTCTGATGTTCAGCAATTCCTTCATCAAAAAAATAAGTCTGACCTTAGTATTATTTTGGTGACTGCATATAGTAAACTCTAGTGATTTCTAATTTGTCTCCCAAAAGTAGGAATAAACTTTAATTCACAGAAGTCAAAACTTTCATTTCCATTTGAGAAGTTTCCCTACACATCCTTTTTATTTTATTTTACTTTAATTTCCAGGATACATGTGCAGAACGTGCAGGTTTGTTACATAGGTATACACGTGCCATGGTGTTTTGCTACACCTATCAACCCATCATCTAGGTTTGAAGCCCCACATTCATTAGGTATTTGTCCCCCTATACATCTTTTCCAAGTTTGTCTGACTCAGGCAGGCAAACCCAGTGCTATTCATTGCATAGCTAAACTCCTCCCATTTCTGGATACTCTAGAATGTTTTATGTGTCTCAAGATGCTTTCCCCCACCTACTATCCTCAAACACTCCCCCTTCATTCTGATACTTCATAAGGCTTCCTTGTCCACTTAAAGAGTCCTTTAAGGGGTTGTAGATTAAGCGACAAAATCATTTCAGCACTGTAGGAATGCAAAATAGTAGATGGTTGCAACTATATGTTCATTTTCTTTTCTTCTTTTGATTTGTGGAGGGATTTTTCCCCCTCACTATAATTCATTAAAAGAAGGGATCTTGTCTTTTACATATTTTATAATATAAAGTATATACTACTAAAGAGATCAGTAATAGTAATACAGTTCAATGTTCTAGCTCAGTTGTTTTGTTGAAATCCTTCTCAAAATTCAATTAATAACATGGCATATATCTACATGGCTGAGAATATTGTTGTTTTAATATGACTTGAGGGTTTTTTAGCTATTGGAAATGCTACACTTGTTTCTTAAGAAATATTTATGCAACCATGAAGTAGGAAACATGATAGCAATCAATTAACATAAGAATGGATAACAGGGAATGTAAGATTTATGATAAATGATGTATGAAAGAATGCTAAATTAGACTTGTTGTCAGGCACAATTAGAAGACAATTGTGATGTTTCTCGATGTCAGTATCTTAGATCTGACAAGGATGAGCCACCTATATTAGCTGATATCATCTTAGCCAAAAAGCATACAGTTAAGCATAAGGAATTATGTAATGCTCTCAATAGATTTAAGGAAAATAATGAGCACATTATATTTTAATATCTTATAAACTGCCAAATTATTAATGATCTGAAGAGATTATTTGTGCTTTTTCATTTAGAAGTTGTTCTGACTTTCATTAAATATCTTCATGCAACAATGAAGCACTCTCTCTACTTCTCTGCTTTGCGTGTGTGGATTAATGGGAGGAATACCTGGAGAGATCTGATATACCCTCTCGCTGAAGGAACTAAATGGCTCCAAAATGAAGTAAGTATGGTGATGGGGTCAGGCCTTCAGAGGTGGAGTTAATGCTGAGAGAATGTTGAAAAGAAGAAAAGAGGAGACAGTACTGACTCCTTCCCTAGCAAGTTATTATCTAAAGTTGCTCGCAAAAGTACTTCTAAATAAAAGCCAATAAAGTTCAGGATGTCTTGTTTTCTTCTAATTACTGTCGACCATGTTTTAATGCTTAGAGTTGTTAACAATATGAACCTAGACATATTTATAACTTGTGTGATTTTCCAAAAGCATGTATCAGCCATTTCAGAAAATGTAAAACAGACTGTTGGCAGATTTTTACACAATATTTTTAAAATATATTTCCTCTCTGATTCTTCCAGAAATTAAGTTCTCTTGGATATCACTTTTCTTAGAAGTATTGAAATATTAAAATGTACTTCCTGAGAGTGTAAATTATAGATATTTATAAAGGAATACACTTAGTAATTTGATTAAATTACATTGCTAAAATTAATTTGAAGCTAGCAAAAATTATGAAACATTTTGCTATAGCAATTATGGAGAATTGTATGTATCCCTTGACAAGTTTTCAAGTTGAACAGAAATATCTGCCTTGTTAGAGATTTTTTAATGTCCTGGCTAAGTTTTCCTTAATTATTTCTCCCCTTCTGTCAGCTGTGTTATTGCCCTACTGGTTTAAAGGTTAAACAAAGTACTAGATCTGTCAAAGTGAGAGAAACCAACTGGTGAGCAGCTATCAGAAGGTAATCAGGGCTAATAGGTACATAATGGCTAGCAGGGTCCTGTTTGCACTCAGCTACATCACCACAGATGGAACATAATTTTCACTGATGTCCCTGTTAAAGAAAACATGCAGCAACCCAGACATTCTGTGGTTAAAACCAAGCGGGTAGGCAGTTCCCATCCTCCTGCCCCCACCCCAGGATACAAAACTGACAAAACTCAAGCTCTGAAAAGACTAGAGTGACATGCATTTAAGTGGTAAAACTATTATTTCAGAACAGATATTGCAAACAATGCCCTTACCTGTGCTAATTTTTAAATTAGCAGAATTCCCACAAGAGACGTTGGTTTCTTTCATGGATACATGACAATGTAGTGTCTCGCACAGGCACTTTTCAAGCAGTATTGATTTAAACACCTGATTTAAGCAAAATAAATCACATAGAGGGAGATAAATATGAAAGCTTAGATAAGCAGAGCTTGCAGGGTACTTGGGTCCTGAAATAATTCTTTCTGCATGTTTTTTTCTTTTTGTTGTTTATGATACATTTTCATAAATTATTGCTTTTCCTAACCAACTAACAAACTAAGTGTAAGGTCTAAGTCTTATGAGCTGTTCCCTGGAAAAACATCTACACTGTAACTGCTGGCTGTGTGTGATTTTACTGCTTCATCATTTTGACAATTATCTGTTGTGGCTTAAGTGCTTGCAAAGCTTAGTGTAAACAATAATGCAGGGCATTAAAGCATTTATTTACTGTGTGGTAAAACTAATTCTTCTTAGTAGTTCTTGCAATAGCTGACAGGAAATAAAATCTAAGATACATGCAAGAAACAACGGGCCGCTTACAGTAATAGTCTAATCTTTTGGAGGCCACTGAGTAAACCTAGAATAAAGGTTTATTTTTCAATTATATGTATCCATGCATCTTGGAGTTTAACATAATCTTCATGAATAATAACAACACTACATGTGTCTTTGATTTAAATCAAGTAAGGTTGGTACAGACAGTTTCAGAACAGAGTTCAGAGTCTGCAGAACTCAGGAAACGGTAGCACAGGCCTTCTCAGCACAGCCTGGGAGAGAATTTTTTGAGCTCGCCCTTTGGCTTACAAATCCCAGGAAACTTTGTTGAAATAAAATGATCTAAACAAATCAGGAGCCAAAACAGGGACTAAGAGGAGAAATGTCTAACAGTACCAACTCTCCCATCCCATCCCATCCCACCACATTTTGGGGGTTACTGAAAAACATGCAAATTAAAGCTGCAGTAGCTTTCATTTGTCAGCTCGCTTTCTTAGCTTCAGATTGTTCTCCAAGTCAACAGGTTTCCAAGAGTCGTGTTTCCAGCATAAACATTACTATTCATTTTTGTGTTGAATTTTATAATGGAATTGGAACCCTAAGGTTCTCTCTTACCCGTTAAGGAGAATTTTTTTTTTTTATGGATTTTGTTCTGTTGTGTTTCCCAGATGCTTCCACCTGGTTTGGAACCTGACTTAAATGAGCCCTTCCAAGCATCCTCAAAAGAAGTTCAAGATCTTTATCTCATGGAAGGGTTTGAGTTTTTCTTTTGTAGAGTCATCGACAATTCTCCCTCATCAGATCAAAACTCCAAAACATCCAATGACAGGTTGATTTTTCAATTTTATACTTCATTTACACAACATACATTTTTTAGATCTGATTAGAATTCACACACAAAGAATTCATTATGGGTGCATTACAGGCAAGTTTTAAACAATATTATCTTGCAAAAAAGAAATCTGCTTCTTATCTTCCTCAGGTTAAAAAGAAAATCTAGATTTAAAAAGACTGCTAAGTATGGCTACCTTATTCATTGTTACCGATAGACTATGCACAGGTGTTCATCTCCCCCATCAGTGTGTGGAGGGGTGTGCTTTCATGTGGCAGGTGCACGCCTATGAAGGACAGTCCTAAAATTTAGGAAGAATAAAAAAAAATTCTGCAAGATGGGCTAGAAAGGGCATCAAAAATCTGTCTACTGTCTCACACAGGAGGCTATTTGGTGCATGAAATCCCCACACACTTTAGAGGGTATGGCCATAATCTTTGGAGAGCTAATGATGCCATTCAAATATATGTTCTCTGTGGAATCCATCACCCATTTTCACCTTGACATGAATTAGTTTATTAGTTGCATGGTTCTGAGGAAATGGAATAAAGATAAGGATGCTAGGAAAGGTCAAGAGAAGGAGGTTTTTTTCCAAGAGGAATTGGCTTGATTGCACCATCTCACTGGAGAGGGCATGCAGGGGCTCCACACATAGGAACAAATTGAGTCTAGATTTGAGAAAGGAGTGTAGAGTAAAATGAGGCAATGATTTACCAAAAACAAATTCCCCTACTTCATAATTTTCCCTATAATTATGTATAGCTTTTTCTTCTCTCTTCCCTTCTGCATATGTATCAATCTAGATACATACATACACTAGTGAGACAATAAACCCATAAATATTTGTATTTTCACAATATTTTTATTTTCATGATTGCTATTTGCAAATATATTTCTTGATTATATCTGTGAAGTAATTTATATGCAAATAGCAGTAACATTATATAGGCCAACCTGTCTATTTCTCTTCTAAAATAATATACAAGTTTATTCCTAGCTCTCTTTTTTTTAAGAAAGAAATCAGTTATTAATATGTGGATGTGCCCTTATTGACATGAACTAAAGTTTTACAAAAGATGGTAAGTTAAACAAGTAATACATCCTGATTTAATTACAATTACTGATTTTCAGTAAACACTATTTAGTGACAGTGACTTTTTTCTTAAAAGGTATCTCAGATATTTATTTATGAATATTAAACTCTTTGTTAGGAGAAACATGTATTAGACCATTTTAGGAGTTTATTTATTAAGATATTATAGCTATTGATGGCAACCTACTTTTGGTAACAGTTTTTTATTTTAAAATATATGAAAGCATTTTGAAGTTTTCATCTTCCCAAAAAATCTTTACTATCTCTCCTGAAAGATTTAAATAGGGAAAACCTCCTGACTTCTCAAACTCAGGGGTGAGAAAGGACAATGATAGGTTAGTTATTAGGTAGTTTTCACTAGTGACAATTGCAATGAAACCATGCATATCACAATTTATAATTTCACTGAATTTTACTCACTTGCACAACTCTGCAGTGTTTTCAAAAACAGGAATCCCATTAAACACACCGACAATATAATTTTAATACCTACTCAGGGGCTACATTATAGGTTATGAAATTCATTAAGAAAAATTGACACTCACTTTTGGGGATTTTGTTCTTTTTTTTTCTGGACATAAGTTCTGAAGGAGAAGGAGAAGCAAAATAGGAGTGTTAATCATAAAATCAGTTCAGTATGTTTCATAGATAAGTCTCTCCAGAATATTGGTCAGTTTATAACAGTTAAACATCAAAAGATCTGAGCCTTAAGTACAGAGACCCCAGAGCGAAAGAGCTGAAGTTATAAATGGAATAGCTCGCATGTATCAAACATAAGAAAAAAAGAGAAGAAACAGCTTTTATGTAACAAAGTAGAAAAGGTTTTATTTATTTATTTTTAAATGGCCTTTTGTCCTTTTTCTTTTTTTTTTTATAATGTTCTCATTGGCATTACCCTTGAACAGGCTTGGGAAAATGTTGTTGTCACTGAGAAAAAAAATTTTTTTTGCCACCTGTAAGCCATTAGGCCTGGAATGAAAATCAAGCCTGAAAGCTGCCAGTGGCTCTACGTTTAATTTTAAATGAGAGGGGGGAACAAGTCAGAGGCAGAGAGTGACTCTATGAGTCCAAGACCCAAAACAGAACATTTGGGACTCCATGCATTTAATCAGTGCCACCATGTTGCTTGAGCCTACACCTGCAGAATGTGTTGTCTTTGTCATTTGTTCTCGTGGAGAATAAATGGAACTTCTGGAAGTGAAGCTTCAGGGATTGGAAGCATAATACAATAGTAAAATTAATATTTAATCAACAAAAACATAACTATATCAACTGTTTTCAGGATGAGAATAATCCTAAATTTAGAAAAATACCCCAATTTGCCATCTCCCATCATTCAAGTTAAAATTTTCTGAATCAAATTTTCCACAATTTTTTTTCTAGCAGATTGGTATGGTATGGTAAGGGGAGGTAGAGTCTAATGGTAGAATTTTGATAGCTTCTGGAATGCTGAGTTTCTATGTGTGATAATTGCCCTTTCATCAAGTATAATTGCTCATGACTAGAAAAACAGTAAAAAGACTACTGTATAAAACATTCATATAGAAATTAAAACAAGTCAGAGCAAAGAGCAATTTTGTAGCTTCTCTTGTGTCAAGCACTTCAAAAATTGCATTTGCACTTTAATTCTACCTCAGTTGCATTTAGAAATTATGAAATCAGCTTCCAGCTGTCCTTATTATCTAGCATGGGGTCTCAGAGGTGTCTTAACAAAATGAATGTTAAACCCTGTTAAGTGCATTGTGGGAAATTGATCCAAATTAAATGCCTCTATTAAGCAATGACCAATGTATTCATTGTAACACTCTCAAATTTGTTAATGAAAACTTTAAAAATGCTTACAAATATTCTGGTATTTTTTGACTCATTTGTCGAGAAATAATTCCAAGATTTGGTCCTTGTTCATAGTACATAACATATTTAGAAGAACTAACACCCTCATTTAATGTAAAATATCCAACATTCAGTAAAAGTGCAGTGTATTAGTAGAGCCGATAGCTACAACCAATATGTTTCTTCCTCTATTTCTCAAATCCTTTCCAAACAGACACAATGGTCTTCAATTTTTCCCTTTTTATCTCCTACAAAACATTTCTTCATCATCAGTTATTCACCTATATGTTGGTATCTTCTTCATCTCACTGGCTCATTCCCCTATAAGTAAAAACTGATTTCTTTCTTTCAAAGAATTGAAAACAGGTATTCAAACAAATATTTGTAAGCAAATTTTTATAACAGCAAAATTCACACTAGCCAAAATGTGGAAAAAACCCACATGTCTATCCACTGATTAATGGATAAACAAAATGCAGTGTGCCAACAGAATGGATATAATACTCAATTCTAAAAATGAATAAAGTGCTGATATGTGCTATACATGGATAAACCTCAAAAACAGTATGCTAAGTGAAAGAAATCAGACACATATGATTCCATTTATAAGAAATATCCAGAATAGGTAAATCCATGGACAGAAAGGAAATTAATGGTTTCCAGGGCCTGGGGTAGGGAGTGGGGGAAATAGGGAGCAGTCATTATGTTTTATCAATTGAGTCCTACTCACCAAATCCCCAAGAACATCCTTTCCATCTTTAGTTCATTTGACTACAAGTCCTTCCACAGCAGGGACTGTGTCTGTCTTGTTTACCCATTAATAACACAGTATCTAGGACAGTTTCTAGAAAGATAACAGGTACTTAACTAATATTTACTGACTGACATTTAGAAGAAATTTATTTTCCAGCTTTCCCTCTCTAGAGCATCTGACATTATTAAGCATTCTCTCCTTCTTCACTTTTATAACATCATTTCTGGGTTCTACCTCATTCAACACTGTTTATTTCCATTACTGAATTGTCATTCTAAACCTGTTTTCTCCTTTCCCCGCATGTTAAACCTTGATGTCCCCAGGATTTCATCCTCCAGATGTGTTTGTCTCATTTCACTCCATTTCTCACCCAAAGCAATCTCCTGTCCCTTCCCACTTTCATCTACTATTTGATCAATCTCAAATCCATTAAAATGGTCCCTTTCTCACTCATCACCTTAATAAATGTTACTTACTTTTCAGGCCTCAGGTCATTTGTGGCTTCCTAGGAAAGCCAACTTGGAGGGCCTCCCATTAGCCTTGAAAGATTAGATATCCCTTTTTTCTTTATATCACCGTATACTCACCCTTTTGAGAATGCAACCATATTGAGGGGTGTTTGAATACTTATCTTTCTCTCCAAGTAAGCTTCATGAGTGAGAATGAGGAATATGACTTACTTATTGCTACATCTCCAATGCCTAACACGCAGTGAAAAACCAGTTAAAAAATGAATTTATCTGTACCTCCAAGCTCTCTTTTTAAGAACATATCCAACAATTAAAACTGCTTATTTGGCCAGGTGTGGTGGCTCATGCCTATAATTCCAGCTCTTGAGGAGGCAGAGACAGGAGGATAGTTTGAGCCCAGGAGTTCAAGACCTGCTTGGGCAATATAGTGAGACCCTGTTCTCCACAAAAAGGAAAAAAAAAAAAGAAGAAGAAGAAGAACAACAACAACAACAACAACAAAACCTGCTTATTTGATCTGCCCTGGAGGATCTGCAAGCACTCCAAACTTGCAGATAAATTCATTATCTCTCTCACACTCCAACCAAGCTTTCTAAACTCCTAACATAATAACAACTTCATCCACCATGTTAACCAAACTAAGTATTTGTCAGTCATCTTGACAGTTACTTCTCTTTCGCTCCTAACACTGAGACTCTAGATCCTGATGTCCTGCCTCTTTTTATAATTCATTCTTTCTTCCCAGTTGCTTTGCCACTACATCAGCTCTGATTCTCATCCACCATATTGGCCTTGAATTACCACAGAAACACTTGAAATTTGTCTTCCTTTCCCCAATCTATACCCCTCCTTTCCAGTCTCCTCACTGCCACCAGAGCTATCTTTCTAAGCAGATCACATTTTGTCACTACTTAAAAATCTTCAGTGCCTCCCTGTCACCTACTGGATGAAGTACAAATATCTTCCTATAATATAAAACATGCTCTGAAACCTAATCATTTACCGTGCTTGCTGTATCTCCCATTCATTCTGATCAAAATATCTTACCCTCATGCCCATACTTAACTAGTCTTTTTAAACAAACCTACAAGTTTCTTCCATGCCTCTATGTCTGCACATGTTCTTATAAAAACTTACCCATCTTTCAAGGTCCAACACAAAGACCCTAACCTATTTGAGGCACTCCCAGCTTCTCCAGAAAGAGTTCCTTCCTTTTTTGTTCACTGGTAGAGCTCCATCACAATGCATTCTAATTATCACTTTGAACTGATCACATTAAAATTATTTGTTTCTAAGGATTTCTCCCCACCCCCTCTGAAAGCCAGCTCATTTTGTACAAGTCTTCTTGGCTTCTATTGCAGTGCTGGATATAGACTAAGACACTCAATGAATGTTTGATGAATGAATGAGTGTATGTGTGTATACATACATGTATTTATTTACATATATACATATATATAATACATTGAATATGAAAGTAAATTTGATTATATTTGATTTAAAGTATATTTGTAATTTAATACATCTGTGAATTTCCAAGTAAATGTTACACATTCTGAAGTAGTTATTAAAGAATTCACACTATGGACAGATGGTAAAGAATAACTGAGAATCCTGAAGGATACATATGCGCTCACACATTCTCCTTCATTCTCTCTGCCTCACTTATGCCTTCCTGGCCTCACCAAGCCTGTCACTTTTCATCTTCCCACTCTGCCAATTCCCATGATCAGAGAAGGCAAACTGAAAAGGGTGCCATTGGAGGGGGTAATGGGTACAGAAGGGCCATGTAGTCTCAGAGGCTTGGAAAGAATGCTGTTCTATATAATAAAAAGCAAGTTTTGTGAAAACCACTCCTATCCACCAAACCTGACAGTTAATGAATTTCCTGATGCCCATGCCTCATGTCAGATTGAGATACGTAGGAAAAGTAAAGCTCTCCAGTTTTCTCATCTTACCTGGGACTGTTATCATATGGAAGTGCATGTTTGTTCTTCCAAGTAGCACCTTTAGAGAGAGTGGTAGCTTTTGTTTGTTTTTCTACCTATGACACTTTATTAGTCACAAAATAGTTGTTAATGATAAAAATGTAAACAAAGCCATATGCCTTGATAATGTTGCAGTATCATCCCAAATCTCTGAATTCAAGGGAGTCCTCTTTTTGTTTTCAAATAATGAATATCATGATAGTCATTATAGATGATAAAAACATCCAAGGAGAAATATGAATGTTTTGAGAGAATAAAGTTTGGAACTACATAAAATACACCAGGAAAATAAAAACTCCTAATTAGAGGCTGGTAATCAATAGTTTTAAATCTGTAATTTAGATATCAAAATATCTAAAATCATCTAGATTTGAAAACCCAAGGATTATTGTGGGAGATGAAAACCAAGCTAACATAATCAAAGTATCAGATATTTACAAAAACACTTGATCACCAATTGATTTGTTATTAATGTACTATATTCATAGAGGAAGAGCTCAAATATTTAATACTGCTGATCAGAAGAAAAACAAACATCTAGAATAAAAGTATAAATATCCAAACCACTGTCTTGGGAAGCAATTTAGAAAAGTAAGGCATAATTACTTGAATTATTCAGTTTTCAAGTCACTCTTAATTACTGTCAACACAAATTAATATGTTCTCATTTGTCTTCACATTTAAATAATAACATCAATAATAATGACAAACTCAGAAAGACTCATGGCACCTGCTCTCTCAAATCTGATGTTGCCCTGAAGAGGCCAATTCATACCTGTAGGCCACCTGTGGATAGGACCATAGATCAAGGTGGCATAACTACTAAATAAGTTCCCCAAATGAGGCTATTGAAACAAAGAATAAAAGCAATAAAACTAGATTTATTTCTGGGCAGAGAGAATGGAAAGCAGGAGGGAGATGTTGTGAAACTGAATTTCAGGTAAACCTATTATAGATGAGGGGACTTGTTAGCACTGTGATCTTTCCTCATACCCTATGTCCTTAACTTCTATTAGTGTGAACATTCCAGTTCTTTAAAATACAGCCATATCATTTTTTCAAGATTAATACATAAAAGAGTAAAAGATTACTCCTGGGCTAGGATCCTGTATGCTAAGTTTCAGCCTGGAGCACATTTTTATAGCTGAGTTATAAACCTTTGAAAATAGGTGTTTAGAATGGAAATGTTAAGAGACTCCTAACTGTAGTGGCACAAATAGTACTGGCATCATTCATCTGGAAAAGGTATATAGGCAGCTATAGTATTAAAGTTTAGATTTCAGAGAAAGGAGCCTGAAAGTGGTCAGATTATATTCCACTGAAGATTTAATTGCTCTTTGGAAAAAAGTTATGGTGAATCGGGGTAGGAGGGTGCTGGGAATGGGGTGTCAAGGAAGAGCGAAAGAAAGGTTGATATGTCATTTGTATTCTTTTTTAACATGTCATGGAAATGTTTTATGACAAACTGAGCTAACTAAAACTGACAGCAGCAAATAATGACTGGATCATTACATTGTAATGAATTGTATTGCTCTCAAATTGTGCCTTGCTATTTAACATATTCTGTAAATAAAGTTATGTTGCCCTTATAGAAAACAAATTTTGATTCAGAACACCTTATGTCCGTATACACATAGAAGAGGAAAATTGGGGAAAAAAGCAAATTTCTCATTTATATTAGTTGAAAGAGTAGAGCATTTTGAATCCTCTAGATTGTTTGCCTACCTCTATTTTCCTTTTGGAAATAAATTTTCATGTCCTGAAACACAGCACTTCCACTATAAGTTTTGCCTAGTTTATATTGTGTCTCTTGACATTTGGAATATATTTTGCAATACACTCTCCTTCCAAATATCTTTTACTTCTGATAAACTCTTCCCTGAAGTTTCCATGGATTCTCAGAAGTATAGTTCCTCACTGACATACTTTTTTTTTCTTGGACAGATAATATAATAATATGGTTCACAACAAAGTAAATCTATGAGCGTACCTGAGAGTATGATTACTCAATAAACTTCATATAAAAAGTGTATGGTAGTGTAGCCAAAATTAGCAATTAGGACTTAAATACTCAAATGATTGAAATCATTCACTTCTATAGCCATTACTTGGCCATAAAAAGAAGATGTGAAGGAGGAGGCAGAGAAAAATTAATCTGTCTCCATGGACAGATTATTTTAAGTAAATTAAATATGTAACAGAGAAGACTATCAAGTTACCACTCAAGTAGCTGGAGATCCAAACCCAAAGGGAAGGCTCTGGATTTGCACTAGTTGTTACTGACACAGTAAGTTAATGGAACCAGTAGATCTTTTGAATACATTCTGGGTACATGAATCCTCTAATTTATCAGAAAACTTAAGTCTGTGAATTCCTGTTAAAAAAAATACAGAGGCTTAAATCATGTGATTCCTTGATTTATGTGATCCTTGAGATTTTTACACTCTCAAGTTACAGAGAAAAATTATTAAAGTTACTCAGATATTGGGTACTAATCTTTCAGGTGCATATTCAAACTGGATTGGCAAAATCCATAAGACTTCCTGTTTGAAAATATAGCAAGTCCTTTATATGTAATAATCACATATACACAATACAACAATATTTCTAAAACTAGCTTTTCAAACTGCTAGAAAAATATATTTTAAAAACCTATTGTCTGACACTGTATAAATAAAACCACATGGGCATTGGTTTTTGTTTTGATTTTTTACTTTCCTACCCTTTGTTGTTATATTGTAGAGCTACAAAAATTCAAAACAATTAAATTAATAGGTTTTAATTAACATGTTGCTGATTTAATATGTATTTAAAAGAATGACTCAGATATCTAAACTTCCTGAAGAGAAGACATAGCATTTGTGTTCACTGTACTTTTCCCAGAATGACTACATGGTTCAGTATTCTCTTCATCAACAGATAGAGACACTGAACTGAGACTTGGAAGGTTAAAAAAAATCACCCAGCTGTTCACCTCTCAAATACACTTATTTGTCATTTTCAGGATTCTATATTTATCCTCTCTAGGTGTCTCAAATAGTTAAAAGCAAATCCAAGAAGCATTTTAAAGAAATATCTCAATTCCTTAGCAATTTTAAATGCTGCAGATTTTAAGAATGCAAAAGTACAGCTAAAAGATTTTTTTTGGGGGGGGTCACATAACCATTCGATGGATCTATTTGTGGCTCTTAATATTTAATAATGTTGTTGCAGGAATTCATTCCTAATCAGGAAATGTGTCATTTGCCCTTGAGCACTGGTCTATGGAGTCTGAGAATAGTGCCAGGCACATTCCATAGGTCATGTAAGGCGGCCACTTTGTGACTAGCTGTTATAAATAAGGGCTCTGGGGTCAAACCTGTCTGTTCTTTGAAGAGATTGGGAGGTTTCACCCTGAAAGCAACACCAGCCCTCAGTCTGGAAACCAAGTCCCCAAGGAGACCCTGGGCAAGCCTTTCAAACAGCTAGGAGTGAGAGAGGAAGAACAGCAAATGGGCAAGCCTTTCAAACAGCTAGGAGTGAGAGAGGAAGAACAGCAAATGTCAACTTACATAAACCCGTAAGATAAGAGATGAGAAAATAATGTTCTTTTTGCAAGGGCAGAAGTCTAACTTTCTCAGAAAAATAATGTGCAAAAATGGTGGCACTCAAAAATGTAAAGATCTGGGAAAGTCTAGTAAATAAATCCAGGTGTTGGACTGCTTTATAGGCGGATGAAGAGTTTGGATTAAATAACCTGCCTGAAGGAGAAGGGACACATGGAGTTTGGCTTTCCCTGTCCCTGAAAGGGGTGTTTTAGAGAGGCTGTGGGCTTTTTATACAATGAGGTCAGCAGGAATAGTTGGTCTTATTAAAGAAGTGCTCTGAATAAATAGACCTATTATAAAGACTTCTACAATGTCACTGATATTTATAGAAAAATACACACAAAGGAATATGCATAATTCTATCATCTAACAGATTATGAAATTTAAATTGCCCGCAAAGGTTACCTTTTCAATGCCCACCTCTGACCAATTCTCTCTTGAATTTCTAAGGCCCAGGACATTATCCCCATAGTCCTCTTCCAGGACCAGTCCACCATTTCCATTTCACTGAGCTAATAAAATCATTATCTCCATTACTTGTCATTCTCCTGTCTTATTCATATTTTACACTTGGCCTTTCTATACCTTTTCCCAGAATCCTAGAACCAAAGTTTACCAGACCAATTACACAGTGAGAGGTGGGACAATATTATTTATATTGTCCCCAATTCCATTTATGCTATGGAAACATCTTACATTAGAAAGTATATTTTAATCTAAAAATG
Source organism: Homo sapiens (assembly GCF_000001405.40). NCBI lineage: Eukaryota > Metazoa > Chordata > Mammalia > Primates > Hominidae > Homo > Homo sapiens. The sequence continues at coordinate 93,119,360 of NC_000005.10, forward strand.
TTTTCTCCACTCACGAATGGCTGATTTCATATTACTGTCCTGAGGAATGTATAAAGTAATATATATGTATAAGTAAATATATATACGTACGTGTGTATATAAAGTCAGTAAATTTTTTTCTGTTTTAAACTCTACTGTATTAATCACAATATCATCTATATATAGCTTAAAGTTAGTATATGATTTATTATGATTTTATATATAATCAAGACTTTGTTATATATGTCCTTGAGGCATTTGCAATAGCTCTGCCCCAAGCATCACTACTTAAGAGCACACAGTCTCTAGGTAGAGAACTACTAGACCAAGCATTAGGGAGCTGCCTGCATTTGGTAGTCTAGGCAATAATAATAATAATAATCTGACCTAAATCATCATCTCCATCTAATAGAAGTTCCTGCCATGGTACTTTTACAAAATAACCGGACATCAGAGCTAGTTAGCTGAATCTGAGTTTTACTCTTCCCAAGTGTAATGTCCTCCCTGCCATCTAAGCAGGCCATGCCAACTCTCAGTTGTGATGCCCCACACCTCTGCACTATTACACTGAACTTTCTTTATAGACGTCAACATTTACTTGATGTGGGTCACAATTCCTTCTGGTTCTATTATGGAAAAAAGTAAAAGGTCATTACAGAGTAACCCCATAGGATGAATACTAACGCTGACAAGAGCAGACATCGTACAAGTGGGACAGGGGAAAAAAATCCTTTCAGTGGTTCTCTGATTGTCATGTTCTCTGTATAAGCAAGTTGGGTCAAAACACTCTCTAACGGGAGATACTGCTCTAAACAAGGCAGATGTAAATACAAAGAGAAGTATACAAAGATCTTAAGTCTTGACCTGTGAATGGCTAATTTGAATTTGTACTGACTGTTGGAAATGCTCTCTTGTCCTGCTGAATGGGGTGGTGCTGAAAAAGAGTTCCTCACTTCAGGAACCCAGTGAGAGTCATCATGTTTCAGGCAAGAACCAAAGAATTTCTTTGTTTCAGAGGGCTCAGAATGAGACACTTTTTGTATGTGCATGTTCACCCACCCTGTGGTTTTACAGATACTGATCAACATAATTGCAATCTCCTGAGGATGCTTATGAGGAAGGTCAACACTTACTCACTTTTCCCAAGACAATCCTAGATTATACCTGTTGTACTGAACACTCCCCCTCATACTCAAAAGTATCCTAGTTTTGAGGATAACTATATATTTATGCTAATTATAAAGTATTCCCAAGTGTTAAGCTCTCTAGGACATCACACAGGACTGCAATGTTGACAGCTTAGTTCAGATTTTTTGACTGATTACGGCGGTCCCAGAAGGTCTCTCTAAAATGCATATTCCTGAGCCCAGCTCCAAAGAGAGACTTAGGAATGTGTTTGCTTAACAGGTGCTACAGTTGATTCTTCTAAACGATAAAGTCCATTGCCATTCTCAATAATTCCCAAGAGTCTTATCCTGTGTGCTATATTTAACTACATAACTATTTTTTACACTTCCTCTTTCTCCTTTGCCTTAGGAAGATTTCCACTTCCTAAACTTTCCCAAGCTTAATCTTGAATCTGAAGTGCTTCTGCACCTACTTTGCCACATTCCGCCCACTCACAGACCCTCCCGCAGGGTGTGTTGGAGGTGGATAGTACCAGCGTGCAATGGGGGGTGCATGTTTCCTCCCAACTCAGTGATGTCATGTTGCTAGCTTAAAATTACCCATGATGAGATTACTGACACCATTCAGCAAATGCTACAAATAAAACCTTCCTCCTTCACCTCTAAAGTCATTTGTTAACATTAACCAGCGCACCACTAGCTAAGCATTTACTTCTAATTATTCCACTACCCCTTTAGACAAACAAAACATCAAATGTTCCCTATAGAGAGCCAGTCTTTGTTTTACGTATGTTCAGGTAAGCCAGAGAAAAGATTCCACATCAGAAAAATAACACAGTTATCACCTATGATATTTTATCAGAAAATATTCATTTTCTAAATAACTAAAAAAATTATTTATACTATAGAATTTTGACTTCAGGTTGAAGCTGTCCTCCTGAATTTCAGATTTCCATTCAAGCTTAGAAATTAAAGAATCATTTTTATTATAAATAAGTTTATTTTTATTAATAATGTATAAAATAGATGTACACTTATTATAGAAATACCACATAAACAATTCCTCTTCGCCCCATATAGCCAGAGATATCTAGTATCAACCCTTTGTTTGGTTAGCTACACGTTTCACCTGATATTTTATCATGAACATTTTTCTGCATTAGTAAGTATACTTTTACGTATATATTTGAGTTATGTAATGTTCTGTTCTATGCATGTCATTTGGTTTAGCTGATAACCTTTTTCTTTAAAATTTTGGTAGTTTCCAAATTTGTATTATTTAACATAGCAATAATAAGAGTGTTGCTGAAGATGTTTTTGCATATATCTTTAATTGCACTTAGAATAAATTTATTGATGGATAATTGCTCTGTTAAAGGGTGCTTATTTTAACACTTTTAGTAAATAATATTAAACTTGTCTTTCAGAAAAATTGTGCCAGCCTGGTGACCTAAGTCACCAGTAGCATATTGAATTACCCATCTTCTATTGCTGTTAAGAATATATTTATTAAAATATATATGCATATATATTAATATATAAATAGTTATATATATAATCTAATTGTTTTTATATCTTTCAGCTTTTTGGTTCTTTTCTGTAATTCTGTGATTGTGATTCCTTCAATGAAATGATCAAGTCATTAAGAAAATAAAAACGTTGAACTTTCATGAGAGATTCACTAAAGTGGCTTTGGATTAAATTTGACCTTTTAAATATAAGCTTGAACCCCAAACCAATGCAAATACAGAATCTTTCTCTTATGATCAGAAGCCTCACGTTACTTTTTTCCTTAAGAACATACTCCAAGTCTTCAGCAATAGGGTCATTTGCTATTATTAATATTGAGAGAATGAGAGAGAGAAAATTCTCTTTATTTTCTAAGATAGGAAACTAGAAGAGTTCAGGCTTTATAGAATCTAGAGTCTATAGTGGTGAACAATCGTTCAGCCAATAATCACAGTCTAATAAAAGGGCAGAGTGTTTTTTCGAATAATACAAAACAATAGCATTCCATAAATTCTATAAAGACAGTTTAAAAGGCTCTTAAGCACAGTTAATATAAATATTTTAATCTTTTATATGCATGGTTGAGGTTTCCTTAGATTTCAATCCACTTCATTTCTTAAATAGCACGTCATTATTTTGCCTAGTTGAAGAACTATCATGTAAATATTGGTATTGTACTTCAAAGGCAAAAAAGACTGTTGATTTTCAACATAAATATGCAAAGATTTCTGATATATTTGATAGTTGCTCAAGTAGGTAAGCTCTGTGGGTAAGAACATTTTACTGGAATATATCCACTGGTTAAAAAGCTATTATATGCTCTTATTGGATGTTGCTCATTTAGGCATAGAAGAATTAATACACTTCTCATGTCAAATAATTCCAAGAGGTAGTATAAACCTGCCTCCTAGGAAACGTACATCTTCTAAAGGAAAAAAATATAAAGGAGGATGACTCAAAATTGTATTCACCTTTTATATGCATGTGACAAATGCTTCCTTTTTCTTCTTGTATGACCATGCCATTCTGGACCACTTATGTGGATTAGGATGTTATGATTTTTAAAATAAAAATATGTTATGCTTATTGAATTAAAGAATGTTAAAGAGTCAACTCTTTCAATTTGTGAAATTATTCATGCTGGAGGCAAATCCCTTTGTACTTCATGTCAGAGACCTAGTGGGAATCTTCAAATAGAAATAAGAAGAAGAAATGTCTACTGATTATAACACATTTTCTTTTGAATGAAAATCTAGTGTTTTGTTTACAAAAAGGAACATCTTGCATATCAAGGAAAAGGCCTGATCTTAAACAGAACCCAGTAATACTCACAGCAAACCCAATTAGTGAACCTCTGAAAAAAGCCAGAAGAAAACAAGATTTCCCTCTCTCTCTCTCTGTTTATGTCACATTACTAAGTATATCTAAATCCAAACATACATATTTTTCTATCAGCATTAGTCTATGGAGAATTTAGTAGATAAAACAGAAAGTGCAGCTTCAAAGACAATACATTTTGTCCTCTCTATACCACTGTTTAATAGAAAACTAACAATGACTATTAAATTCAATCGGCTGTCTTGGGGTTTAAGATCTATTTCTTCCTTTCCTTTTCATGGGGACTTTTTTAACCACTAAATTTTTGTTTATGACTATATGATAAGGAAGTCAGCTATAGGAGAAAAAAAAATTGTAGTATGTTAAAGAAACTTGAAAACACACAAGTATAACATTTATAATAGATAACTAAATTCGTGAAATTGGCCAGTTGCGATGACTCACGCCTATAATCAATCCCAGCACTTCGGGAGGCCAAGGCAGGCAGATCACTTGAGGCCAGGAGTTCGAGATCAGCCTGACCAACATGGCAAAACCCCATCTCTACTAAAAATACAAAAATTAGCCAGGCATGATGGTAGGCATCTGCAATCTCAGCTACTTGGAAGGCTGAGGTATGAGAATCGCTTGAACCTGGAGGGTAGAGGTTGCAGTAAGCCTAGATCACTCCAGCCTGGGCAACAGAGTGAGACTCTGTCTCAAAAAAAAAAAAAAAAATTCATGAAATGGTTATACTAAATGTCTTTGAATGCCCCTAATTTCTAAACATATGTCACTAATCACAGCTACCAATTATATCTAAATGTTCCATTTGTCTACATTCTCAAAAACTGGTGATAACGAAGAAATAAGTTTTGAACGTTTACAAGAAATATTACACAACAGTTTCTATACTCGAGGAAATTCACTGAAAACCTTTTATTCTAATTCTTTATAGGACACTAAACCATTTATTATTTTTTCCACCCCTTTTTTTCATCTGCATAAGGTAATCTGGCTAAATGACCTGACCAATGAGAAGAGATGGTTGATACCCTAATGCAGGGGTCCCCAACCCCGAGGCTGCGGACCAGTACCTGTCCACAGCCTGTTATGAAACAGGCTGCAGAGCAGGAGGTGAGCTGCCGGCCAGCTAACACTACCGCCTGAGCTCTGCCTCCTGTCAGATAAGCCGCAGTGTTAGATTGGGAACATGAACCCTATTGTGAATTGTGCATGTGAGGGATCTAGGTTGTGTACCCCTTATGAGAATTTAACTAATGCCTGATGATCTGAGATGTAACAGTTTCATCTGGAAATCATGCCCCTCTGCTACCCATCTGTGGAAAAATTGTCTTACACAAAACCAGTCCCTGGTGCCAAAAAGGTTGCGCATCACTGCTTTAATGTCTTAAAAAGTTGTTTCATATCTAAGAAGAGCAACTAAGGAAAGCCAGGGCCCAGCCAAGGTGCCAGCTAGTAAGAAAACCTGCCCTAATCACTGAACAGAGTGATGATGCCAGGCCGCAACCCAAACACGTCACAAGATGAATGGAGCACAGGTGTGCTCTAGTGAAAGGGGCACAGATACTAACATTAGACCATGTGGGTGCAGATTCTGGTTCCATTTTTTGTCACTGCGTAAATTTGAACAACTTACATAATATCAGTGAGATGCCCTTATTCTAATCTGTAAGATATGAATAATAATAGTGTCATTTCTTGACTGTTTCGAGAATTAAATGAGATAATGTGTTTAATGATGTTAGTGCTGTGGCTGGAATAATAAATGTGAGCATTTATCATCATTAAACATCCAGCCTATGGTAGTACACATGTTCAGAAAATCAGCCCAATGCATATGACTTCTTCTTAGACAGAAAATGCTAGCTAGAAAAGTTTTTTGTATTTTTCTAATTATTTGAAACTTGTTTCTATACTTTGGGCTCCAGCAGGTCTGAAAATAGATTTAAGAAAAGGTGTTCTGTGGCAAACAAAGGGAGACTGAGAGAGTCATCCATCACTATGCACCCCATCCAACTTGGACAGAGTTAATTTTATAGACCCAGGATATTTGCAAAACCCTAAAGGGACTGTAGAGTGGCTGCCCTGAGATGTCTCAGATTCTGTGAAGCAGGCGGTCTTCTGGTGGGCTGATAGACCACAAGAGAGGCCTCTAAAGGCCTGCTGGCTCCAGTGTGCATTCTCTATGGTCACCCCCGAGCGTCACCAACTGGTTATACACCAAATGGTGGGTGGGATGTTCAGAATAGGTGACGACTCATAGTTATTTAAAATGCATGTCTATGTTACCTGGAGGGAGCCTCCAAGCCCCCATGAGCAGATTAGCATAGATTAATTTGTCAGATTAGCTAGCTGACATTTGGGGCCCTGAGGGGAAGAGCAGGAAACTTTCTGTGAGAGGAGCAGAATGGCAGAGAGAAGGGAGGGTGCAGGCCTGGGATAGAGTAGGAGGGAGAAGCTGTGCAAAGAGGAGAGGAGCAGCCACGGCAACCTTCTCCAAACCACATGGCCCACACCTGACCCTGGAAGGAAAGGACTGCTTCACAGTGGTGCAGAATTCAACCAGGTCCTTGACAATGTCCCAGCAACTCAGTAAGGAAAAAGAGATCCTCCATAGAGGACAAGGAGTACCTCCTCACTATGAACCAGACTCGGGACACCCAAGGCAAAGTGTTTTGCTTATATTAGGTTCAATAATTTTTAGTAATAGGAACTAGAATCAATTATAGAAGAAGAAGAGCTTTATCAACAAAGGAAAATACTGTTCTGGGTAAACAAAAGAGAGAGAACTCCATACAGAAAAGTGCCTCAGAAGCACTGTTATAAATCAGGTACCACAGTCTCTGTTTTGCCCTCTCCATCACAGTTTTGGCTACTGACAATCCACAAAATACTCAATAGGAATCAAGATGATGTATATGTACTAGTAGTCCCGAATGTATCCCAGGGAGCTGATAGAATTCTAAGTAATATTAAAAGAGCCACTTTAAAATATGTACATATGTTACCCAACTGAAATTTTGTTTATTTATCAAAATTAAAATTAATTTTTTGTGGCCAATAGCTATTTTGCAGCATCTAATTTCCCACAGGAAACTTGAAACTTTGAAATTCATTACAAGCCCTTGTGCTATGAAATAAGTATTAAAAATATGAGAAAATGCCCTTCTTGGTCTTAACGAATTTACCAAGTGTCAAAAGCAAATGGTAAATTAATATTTTGGAGCCCAAGAATCAAAACTTGAGAGAAGGCTCTGTTCTTTAAGAAAAAAAGCGTATTTTCTCATTTGTTTATTCAAGTACTACTTTTTTCAACTTTATAGATAATCCTGGACATCCAGAACTATTTTCCCCACAAGAAAACTATCTGATATTTAGATCTGAATGAGTTGACTAGTTAAGAGGTGAGTAAGAAGTAATATTTGCATCTCTTTAAATATCTATGTGTATATTTGTCATCACCAAGTGAAGCTTTGTCCATTTATGCAAAGCAAACTTCAGCAGAATTTGGAGAGTGAGTCAGAACATCCCTAGGAGCCAAAAAGGCCATTTGCTCTCTCAATCTTTTATACAGAGGATCCAAGCATAATCAAAGGATAGCAGTACCCTTCACTATTTCAATAAATAAACATGAGTGAAAGAAAAACACAGGCAAAAGAATTTAGCCGCTAAAACTCCTTTGCTACATTACATATTCAGCTTTGAGCACAAGTTTTAAAAATACAGTTTAGGCTTGGGAAACATTAGTTTTCAGGCCATCTAGTCAATTTCCTACAAATGTTGAATGGCTAATCATAGAATAATTTCATAGGGCTTTTTGTTGAGTTATTGTTGTTTTGAATGTTCAGTTAAATTATTTACCAATGGAGTCAGCAGTGAAAATTGTTATCACTGGTATAAAACCTTTCTGTTTTTCATCTGGGAGCATAATTTTGTTATTCTTACTCTCTCAGTTGTGTTACTAATGAGTACTAAAAATAATTGTTGTATAACCACTGTTATTCATCACTAAACTTGGAACTTAGAAACTCTAAAAAAGAAAAAAAGCTATTGAGCTATTGACTAGAAAGTCAAGGCATGAGAAGTAGACTGGAAGTGACATAGTTTTGAGAATGAGCTGCCCTATTGCAGCATATTCAACTTCTGTCATTAGGATTTTAAGTTCATGCCCAGTTTACATGGGTGGTATTTAGGAGTTAATGAATTTCTGCCAAAGTGAGTAATGTGGTCCTTTTTCACTGATAAGATTAAGACCAATACCTTTCCCAACTAGCGTTAAGTAGCAATGAACTTCTTCATCCTTGTGAACAGAGCTTGACAGACATTGTCAGACTCTCATTCCTGAGGTATCATTGTCATTCACTCTGCATTAACCCCGCTAGGAGCTACTGCTGGATTTAGCCTTCAAAGTCTCCTCATTATTTGACAAGTTAGAAGAGGTAGTGGAACTACTAGTAATTGGGGAACTACAACTCTATCCCAGCAAGTGACCTTGTCCCCAAACTAAGCTCTGGCTGGCCCCAGGTAGAACAACCTTAATTGGCAGAGTAGTTATTATTGCGGCTCTTCAACAGGCGTATTCCAGGGAAGGAATGGGCGAGAAGAATTTCAGCACAATGCAGTGCAGATGAAATGCTGATAACTCCATCTGAGGCTGGCATATTGTGTGCAAGTGTCACTAACTTTGGATTTATCTCTGCCACTTATTTTCCATCTTAAAGAAGAACTTGATTTAGAGCTTCAAATAATTACCTCCAAATGAATGAGAGGTGAACATATGCAAACAAAATTTTAAGTGGGAGCTGAGGTTTCCTTCTGCCCTCTGACTTTAAAAATCTGATCCCCAGCACAGAGTCAGATTGATATTAAGTTGATACTCAAATAACTTTGGTGAACTTTTAATTCGCTTTTACATTTTTCAGACCCATATGCTCCCAAGTACCATCTGAAGCTGGAAACTACAAATAATACAAAGACTATTTTTTGTTTCCTAATAGTTTGTTTTCGTGATCAAGTGGATTAAACATTTTAGATCTTACTAGAAAGCTCTGAAAACGGAAAGGTTTGAATTCTAATGAAACAATTTTCATAAATATCTTAATCTTGAGATGCCATACTATAATTAAAAATAAATCAGCATGCAGAAGTTTGTCTAGCACTTTGAACAATGGAATATCTCTTTGGTTAGTTATTACTTAATATTCAAAAAATGGAATATTTTTAAATAATGCTCAAAATCTGGTTTCTTAAAGCCAAAGCATTGTTATATTAGTCTTTTGACGTATAGAAAAATGTATATCTTAACCCAAAACTAGAGTTCAAATATTCCTTTGTAACGTAATTCCAATGGAAAATAGCTCAATGCTCCTCTCCCTGCTGTTAAAGAAAAAAGATTCAGTCTCGTCCATGTACTTTATCATTATGCAGCACTTGCAGAAGTGTGGAATAGGAACATCCATAAAATGTACATGCTTGTGGCTATTTGTCAAAATAACAACTAAGGAAGGTGGCGCTAGCTTTCTCAAATATTTTCCACAAGCTTCCTAAGTGAAATATGTCTTATATTACTCTTTGTTATAAGTAACTTACTAATCTAAGTTGAGTTTTAAAGATTTGGTAAAACTTCAGTGTTTTCAAAAATTATTTACAGTCTATATGCAGCAAAGCAAGAAATTAGAAATGGGGCCATCACTATTACCGTCTGAATTTGTATATTTGTGGGGCCAAGCAGCCATTCAAAATGAATGAGGCAAAGACTAAAAGACAAAAAATATACTTATCTTCAGATTAAAGTATGAGAATATTCAGATAAATGTACAAGTATAAATCTAAATTATCCAAATCCACTACATTATTCTGTAATATTTGTTTTGCTATCATCAAATAAATATGACCTGTATCAATTTAATTACAAGCAAATGTATATGAAAAGCAAAAATTTCTCACCTTGATTTAGGACTACAGGTGTTATATATTTGAGATCTACTAATTCTGAACTTAATCAAATGTATTCTTTAGTCTCTGATAGTTTCTATGATTGGCTCTCATGCATGAGAATTGTCATTAAAGTCATGTTCATTTTCTCTCTCTCTCTTTTTTTTTTTTTTGCATTGAGTGTAAATCCTAAGCTATTCCAAAATACAGAGAAAAAACAGCAATCTTTGACATGCCCAAGAAACTTCAACGTGTGGAATTAGATGTATTAACAAAACATAGGAACCTTAAGTGGTCAGGGAGTTAGAGTAACCCACAGTTCCTATTTGCCCAAGACCGAAGATTCCTGGGACATAGAACTTTGAGTGTTTAGTGTAAAACCAGAACAAGTTGGTCCTCTTCAAGGAGAGAGTACCTTAGCTAAGCTCATATGGATACATTTGTCAAACTTTCCCTCAGCAAATATGTAGTCAAGCCAAAACAGTTGCTCTTCACCTTAGGGAAATAAAGGATGCAATGGGGAATCTTTTTACAGTGTTGGTTTTAAGATTGTAGAGAATTAGGAATATGAAGAAGTTTCTGCACTCACTTTAGTGGCTTTTTACGAGTACTTTCAACACATCTTTCAAACTCCTGTTCTTAAACATTGCCAAGCTTTCATTAAAAATACAAGCACTACTGCCAAGACAAGAGAGCTGCACTTTATGAAGAAGTAGTAGAAAGCTAAATACAGTTGTATGTATTTTACGTTTTCTATCCCAATAAAACACGATGGTTAGTTATGTTGTTTGCTTTAAAAGTCTCTTAAAATTCTATTTTTTCCTCATGTCCATAAGCTAAGGAATTGTCTGGAGTAATCTAATGCAACGATATGGGCTGAACCCAGAAAAAAGAGTATGTCAAGGCACCAGGCAATGGTTAAAAGATTGATAAGTATAAGGGTTTGAGCAGAACACCTAATAACTTCTTTTCAGTAGTCTTCTAAAGTAGCTGAAATCCACAGCTATAGCCCTTGCTGAATTAAACATTTCAGCCCAGCTTACTAGCACCACAATACACAGGTAGAAGTAATAAGTAATAATGAGTTTTGGGCCATTGAACACTGTGAATTTTCCCAGTGTACTGCAATTATAGAAACATCTGTGCTAAATAAGTTCCTACTGAAAGCTAGGAGTGTTTAATAATCCTCACAACTTCTCATTATCAACCCTAATAGAAGAGAGAGTAAACTCTGCAAAAGTTTACCATTTTCAAAGAAAATTGCCAGGAATGTGATCATTTCTGGTACTACATTTCCCTGGACGATAAAAACACCAGAGACAACCTCCTTGGAAAAGAACATTAAACAGCAGCCTTAATAACATGTACCATAGCACAAGGCAAATTATGCCACTTTCAACAGCCAAACCATTCTTGCTACAGTATCCCCTGCACTACGACCTGACAACTAGGAGATGGATGTTTCTTCTCAGCTTTCTCTACTGCCTCTGACAGGACAATGTGGCCTAAAAATACACACAGCTTTCCTCAGATCTGTCCTGACCGCTAAGGCCTCAATTGAAATGGCTCCACACCAGCTGACTGCTTCCCACAGGGCTCATTCCAAAACAAGCCTAGATTTTAGAGCCAGCATCTGAATAATCTTAACAACCACGAAGGGTCAGCTATTGCTACTGAAGGGAATGTCACTGCTCTAGAGGAATATGAGTGACTTGGATGTGACTAGCAATAGCTGAGTAGATGCCTCTTTAATTAGTTTGGGAATAATGCAGCTGATATTACTTTGGAAGAAGGTAGCATGTGAGAGCCAGTGAATCTCCATGGCTGGAACTAATTTATGGAAAAAAAAAAGTGGCAAACAGAGCCCATCACAGAGTATGACTGCTTCATTATTAGCAAAGAGAAAAAAAGTGATTTGCATCCAACCCTGTCAAAATAATAGCTGGCTTGAGTTCTGTGACTGAAGTGATGGCCTCACTGATACCAGACAAGACATTGAAACTTTTAAAACATGGTTAAGATGCTTTGGAACTGTGCTGGTTAGATTTATGTGCTATCGCGGGTGGGCCAAGATACTCAGACATGTGGTCAAGCACTCTACTGAATATTTCTGTGAGAGTGTGTTGGATGAAATTAACATTTTAAGCATTGGACTTTGAGTAATGCAGATTGCACCCCATAATGTGGATGAGACTGATCCAATCAGTTGAAGAGCTGAATAGCACAGAAATTCCACCAAGCAAAGAGGAATCCTACCGTAGATTGCCTTCCAACTTGATCTGCAACATCAACTCTTCCCTGGATTTCCAGCTTGCCAGCCCACCATGAAGACTTTAAATTCACTAGCTCCATAATCACACAAGTTAGTTCTTTAAAACAAATCTTTCTTTGGTTCTGATTCTCTGGAAAGCCCCGACTAATACTGGAACGAAAACAATATTTAGCCTCTATCCAATCTTTCCATTCATTCTACTAATTAATATCAGCAATATCTAATATTTATGTACCAGATAATATGCTAAATGTATTACGTGGCATACATGATACCATTACTATCTTCATTTGACAGCAAAAGAGATTGAGGCTTACAGAAATTGGTTAAGTTGTCCAAGCCTACATCACTAGTAAGTGATAAAGGCAGGATGCCAGTCCAGATCTGACCCTTCCAGCTCCTGCATTCACCATCTCCATGATCGACTGCCCCTTCAATAAAGTGACAGCAACAAGAGAGATTATCACCAGTCAACGTGGGTTCGAAGAAGATACAACATGTGTTCAAAGTACACATTTTGGTTAGGGGAAAATATTTTATCTTTGATCACTTTTGTTACTTGTTTTGCAAAGTGGAATCCCAAGGCTGGGATTCAAGCCACAGTGCATGCTCAATTCAGCTTACTCAACAACTGGATACATTGCCTTACTGAAATTATTTATGCTTTTAGACCAATGTCTTACTCATCTATCAACTGTACACAACCCTGGACAAGCCCCTAAACTTCTCTGAGTGTCAATCTTTTCTCTATTAAAAACATAAAGGATATTCAGGCTAAATAATCTTTCTCATAACCTGGTGATAAAGGAGCCTCAGTTTGAATAGGGAAATATTACTTGCTTTAAAAATTCTCTTGAGAACTAAATAAAAATAAATTTGTAAGTGTAGGGGGAAATGAAAAGGCATTAGGCACATATTTGATCTTCTAAAAATCACTTAAGAGAAAATACTGCCTTGCTCAATGTGGGAACACAAGTAATAATTGGAATAAAGTTTTGATTCCTGTGATTTTGATTCATGAAATATTTTAACTGGAGAACTTGGTTCAAAGAGGATTTTTTCTTTTTCTGCTGCTGCTTTGTGGAGATGCTGCTTCCATGAACTCTTATTATAACACATTTCCATGAAGTCTAGTCTTGGAACAGACCAGAATGACCTACCATTTGTCTCCTGCCCCTGACTCTCCACTCCCCTAAATTGCCCTATCAGGCTCAGCCACTCTGAGAATACCACTAGCACTACATTCGGCTCTGTCATTATTTACATGCTTGTCCCTCTAACTGCATTCCCATTTGATGATAAGTGCCATAAAGGCAGGAACAATACCTTTCATCCTTCAATACTGACAGCCTAACAGAGTACCTAGCAATCAGTTAGATAGTAAGTGCTAATATTTGTGAAATGAGTAAATAAATGATTTAGTGGCTCAAATTACTCTTCGAAATGACCCACGTTGGTATTTTTAAATTATCAAGATAGCTAATTTACTGAGCACTTATTTGTGCTGGCTTTGTTTTAAATGGTTAATGTACAATGTCTCATTTAATCATACTCTATGAGGCAGGTGAAACTTGGGGAAAATTTCATTCACAAAGCTGTTTTAAGCAAGTGTGTTTATCTCACTGGCAGCCTACCTAACGGACAACAGGCCAAAACATTTGGGCAAGACTCTGTTCAAATTCACAATCTGAAATGCTCAAACTACAGTGGTTATTTGCTACTTTCTGGTTGCCCAATATCCATTCTGACTGTATTGGACAATGAACCCGAAATTCCTTTTAAGAAATTAATTATCCCTCACTATTTAATAGGAACTTTTTCATAGGAATATAACAGAAAAATATGTGACCCAAGCTCAGCCAACCAAACTGTTTTCTTTTTTTTTTTTTTTTTTTCAATCTATAGCTTGAGCAGAATGAAGCAAAGACAGGAGGTATGGGAGCACGACAGTTGGAGCCTATACCTTCTAGCAACAATGATTCCTTCTACCAGAACCTCAGAATTGTTCCCTGCCCTTCCTAAATCTGGTTCTTCAAATTTCCTTTCCACCATAGGAGCCACTCCAATATTTTTCTCATAAGTTTTGTTTTTTCTCCCCCCACACTGGATAAAGTCAGTTCTGTTGCTTACAACCATAGGGTCTTAATTGACGTTGATGCCTGCCCCTGGAGAGCAGAATCCTCTCCCCACCCCAAGTAACTGCTATTATTTTTGTGGCCCAAGGGCAGAAGCATAATAAAGATGCAATTCACATTCTTGGAAGTTTGATGTTCTCTTTGAAAGATTTGCTTTCAATCAGGGTCTGTGACTAGGATGAAACAAGCAAGTACCAAGGGTGCAAAATAGAAGGCACAACCTTAGGGTCGTGCAGGTCCCAGATCAGCTCCTGAGAGTGAGAACCTCCTGACATTTTGCATCAGTGTGCCTCCTTGACTCACCCTAGTTCAGCTCTGTTCTCAACCTACGTTTACAGACAGAGGTGTGTTTCTTTTATGAGGAAATGTTTCTGGCTTTAGGTCCACGGGACTTCATATTGCACCAGTTCTCTCCCAGATACTGCAATTTCAAGGCTGCAGAAGCAGTTGTTATTTGAGGACTCTCCTGTTAGACATTCACAGAACTTATTATTTTGAATCCATAGCTTAAAACTCTTGGGTGGTTAGCTACATGCTTGGTGAGAGTTCAAGACATTACTAATACTGGAAGAAATAACTGCGTTTTAATATATATATTATATATGTCATTTCTATAATGTTGAATATACTGTTTGCCTCATATTTTTTAATATTATGTTGGTGATGATGTCTATTTCATACATTATTGGTTTTTATCTCTACTAAAAGAAATCCTACAGCTGAAATTTTCCATGGATCAACAGAGCACATATGGAAATAAAATATGTAGGTCTTGCATCTGTAATAAATAGTTTTTGAAAGAAAGAGGTCATTTCTTCACTTGGTGCAGGCAGCTGGCACAAGCAGAGTAGAAAAAATCAGTTTATTTGAATTAGAACTTTGCAAATATGATTGTATCATAATCACAATGATTCTATCATAGGATGGTGTTCAGCACAGCACTCTTAAGTAGGATATACATTTAAAAAAATTGAGTCATAGTTTTATTCAGAGGTTCTATGTCTATGAAGAATTGACTAGAATCTTTAAGAGAATTACATTCTTTTGATTCCTTTCTGTTACTGTATTTGCTTTTTGTTCTGAATTTCCTTTTTTAAATAGTAACCTTCTTGTATCCTCAAAGTCATCTTTTACTTCTTTCTTGGCCTATGGCCTCACACTCAATCACTTGCCGAGGCCTGTTCATTGTTTTACTCTCTCCCAACCATGCCTTCTTTCCATTTCTTCCACTTGGACAAATGCAATAGCCTCCCATTCCCTAACCATCTTAGCCTTCCTTAAACCTTACTGTCTTTTCTTCATGCTCTGAAGCAGTTAATGTCTCCCCATTACCTCAAAGAGAAACTACAAAACCCTTTAAATAGCTTTAAAGTACCTCCATGATTTGGCCTTCATTTATTTTATATTTCTGATTTATAGTTTAGTGTTTCTATTCATAAACTACTTGCTGTTCACTATCTGAACTCTCACTTTTCTGCCTGCATAACTTTATCCATGCTATTTCCTTCAACAGGAATGACCTTACAAATTTCCCACAATCATCAAGTCACAGCTAAAATATCATTTTTTCCATAGAGCTTTTCTTGATCATACCAGCCAGAAGTCCTCTGAACATAAAATTATTCCTGAACTTGTTCGTGAAGTAGATTTTATAACTTTTTATTGCCATACCTATTAGATTACATGTACATTAATGTAAAATTCTCTGATTAATTAGCCTTCACTTTCTCCTATGGTAAGCCAGCAATGTACCTTGTACACAACAGATGAAGCATGAACATTAATGTATAATGAGTGAATATAAATGTATATTCTGTCATATATATATATATATATATATATATATATATATATATATATGGCTGGTCCTTATATTTGTTTACAGTTTCTTTTTCTCCTTTAGTTTTACTAAATATTGGCATAACCATCATACCATTTATTCAGCTGTGCACATTCTCAAATAATGTACATTTCCTTAGGTCTTACACGGGTAAATTATTCTGTTTTCATGGGATCATAAAAAGGAGGAAAATCTGCCACCTCATTCTCAACTCCTTCTACCAGCCCTAGAAGTTCATCTCTTCCAGCCCAACATTAAGATTTTTAGTCAAAGTGTAGTATTTCAGACCTGTGGGGTTGCCCCATATTCAGGGGACTCCTGAAAGCTGAGGACTCCCCAGGACTCAACGGGACCAGTGCCATTGTGTTGGCCCTGCCTTTGTTCCCCTGCTGCTCAGATCTGCAGGTTGTCACATATAAGCAGCCATTTCTCTTGTAGGTGCCACAGAACTCAGATTCTAGCAGAAAAGATAAATGCAAAAAGGAAGTATTAGTGTCTATTATACTGAGACTGATCCTCAACATTCCAACTTGATAAACATTTAGCTCCACTCCCTTCTGTAACTCTGGTGTGTCAAAGCTCAAAACAGAGCCTGCCGTAAGCTGTGACTACAACCTACCAGTGCCTGGTTGTGAAAACTACAATCAGAGCAGTCAAGGGCAACATTTCTTAAAACCTATTTAATTCTAACATTTTTGAATGGGTGCTTTTGTTCTGGGTGGAATAGTATCATTTAGAAGGTGAAGAAGAATTTTATTTAATTTTTTTAAAAAGAACTTAGTGGAAGGGTCTTCTACAGTTTCAAAAATTCCCCACAAAAGTTTTATCTTGCGTTTTTAATTAAATTATACACTATTCTTTTAAGATAAATATTATAGCTTATAAACTATTAAGCTATTTGATCACTGATACAAAATAAAAATAAAAATCGTAAAAACCTCCAAAAAAACATAAACAAACTATGTATCATTTAACTGGATTAACTAAAGTTAAATGAGAACAAAAGAAAAGGTTTTTCATGGGTTAATTTGAGGAGACAACATCAAATAATAATTGGCAAAATGTTATAATAGAAATATTGCAATGATTTATTGAGTGTGAAGGAACTGGTGTTTTTGTTTTTTGTTTTTTTTAATTTATTTATATTTTATTGAGACAGAGTTTCAGCCTCCCGAGTAGCTGGGATTACAGGCATGCGCCACCTCGCTCGGCTAATTTTGTATTTTTAGTAGAGACGGGGTTTCTCCATGTTGGTCAAGCTGGTCTCAAACTCCCGATCTCAGGTGATCTGCCTGCCTCAGCCTCCCAAAGTGCTGGGATTACAGGCGTGAGCCACGGTGCCCGGCCCACTATGTTAATTTTTAAAATGATAAGCAGAATAACATCATCATAGATTGCATTATCTCTCCTTAATTCTTCCTTCCCTTCCTTCTCTTGCCAACCTTCAGTATTAGTTTGCTATAGTGACTTAAACAAAATAAATTTATTTTCTCACAGCTTTAAAGGCTGGAAGTCTGAGATCAAGATGTTGCTGGGGTTGATTTCTCCTGAGGGCTGTGAGAAGAGAATCCAGGCCTCTCTCTTTGACTTGTAAATGGCCATCTCCTCCTTAAGACTTCTCATTGTCTTGCCTTTGTGTCTTTATGTCCAAATTTCTTCATTTTATAAGGACACCAGTCATGTTGGATTAGGGCCTACTTTGATAACCTCTTTTTTTTTTATTATTATACCTTAAGTTTTAGGGTACATGTGCACAACGTGCAGGTTTGTTACCTATGTATACATGTGCCATGCTGGTGTGCTGCACCCATTGACTCGTCATTTAGCATTAGGTATATCTCCTAATGCTATCCCTACCCCCTACCCCCACCCCACAACAGTCACCGGTGTGTGATGTTCCCCTTCCTGTGTCCATGTGTTCTCACTGTTCAATTCCCACCTATGAGTGAGAACACGTGGTGTTTGGTTTTTTGTCCTTGCAATAGTTTGCTGAGAATGATGGTTTTCAGATTCATCCATGTCCCTACAAAAGACATGAACTCATCATTTTTTATGGCTGCATAGTATTCCATGGTGTATATGTGCCACATTTTCTTAATCCAGTCTATCATTGTTGGACATTTATGTTGGTTCCAAGTCTTTGCTATTGTGAATAGTGCCGCTATAAACATATGTGTGCATGTGTCTTTATAGCAGCATGATTTATAATCCTTTGGGAATATACCCAGTAATGGGATGGCTGGGTCAAATGGTATTTCTAGTTCTAGATCCCTGAGGAATTGCCACACTGACTTCCACAATGGTTGAACTAGTTTACAGTCCCACCAACAGTGTAAAAGTGTTCCTATTTCTCCACATCCTCTCCAGCACCTGTTGTTTCCTGACTTTTTAATGATCGCCATTCTAACTGGTGTGAGATGGTATCTCATTGTGGTTTTGATTTGCATTTCTCTGATGGCCAGTGATGATGAGCATTTTTTCATGTGTCTTTTGGCTGCATAAATGTCTTCTTTTGAGAAGTGTCTGTTCATATCCTTCACCCACTTTTTGATGGGGTTGTTTTTTTCTTGTAAATTTGTTTGAGTTCTTTGTAGATTCTGGATATTAGCCATTTGTCAGATGAGTAGGTTGCGAAAATGTTCTCCCATTCTGTAGGTTGCCTGTTCACTCTGATGGTAGTTTCTTTTGCTGTGAAGAAGCTCCTTAGTTTAATTAGATCCCATTTGCAATTTTGTCTTTTGTTGCCATTGTTTTTGGTGTTTTAGACATGAAGTCCTTGCCCATGCCTATGTCCTGAATGGTATTGCCTAGGTTTTCTTCTAGGGTTTTTATGGTTTTAGGTCTAACATGTAAGTCTTTAATCCATCTTGAATTAATTTTTGTATAAGGTGTAAGGAAGGGATCCAGTTTCAGCTTTCTACATATGGCTAGCCAGTTTTCCCAGCACCATTTATTAAATAGGGAATCCTTTCCCCATTGCTTGTTTTTCTCAGGTTTGTCAAAGATCAGATGGTTGTAGATTTGCAGCATTATTTCTGAGGGCTCTGTTCTGTTCCATTGGTCTATATCTCTGTTTTGGTACCAGTACCATGCTGTTTTGGTTACTGTAGCCTTGTAGTATAGTTTGAAGTCAGGTAGCTTGATGCCTCCAGCTTTGTTCTTTTGGCTTAGGATTGACTTGGCAATGCGGGCTCTTTTTTGGTTCCATATGAACTTTAAAGTAGTTTTTTCCAATTCTGTGAAGAAAGTCATTGGTAGCTTGATGGGGATGGCATTGAATCTGTAAATAACCTTGGGCAGTATGGCCATTTTCACGATATTGATTCTTCCTACCCATGAGTGTGGAATGTTCTTCCATTTGTTTGTATCCTCTTTTATTTTGTTGAGCAGTGGTTTGTAGTTCTCCTTGAAGAGGTTCTTCACATCCCTTGTAAGGTGGATTCCTAGGTATTTTATTCTCTTTGAAGCAATTGTGAACGGGTGTTCACTCATGATTTGGCTCTCTGTCTGTTATTGGTGTATAAGAATGCTTGTGATTTTTGTACATTGAATTTGTATCCTGAGACTTTGCTGAAGTTGCTTATCAGCTTGAGGAGATTTTGGGCTGAGACGATGGGGTTTTCTAGATATACAATCATGTCATCTGCAAACACGGACAATTTGACTTCCTCTTTTCCTGATGAATACCCTTTATTTCCTTCTCCTGCCTGATTGCCCTGGCCAGAACTTCCAACACTATGTTGAATAGGAGTGGTGAGAGAGGGCATCCCTCTCTTGCGCCCATTTTCAAAGGGAATGCTTCCAGTTTTTTTCCCATTCTGTATGATATTGGCTGTGGGTTTGTCATAGATAGCTCTTGTTATTTTGAGATACGTCCCATCAATACCTAATTTATTGAGAGTTTTTAGCATGAAGGTTTGTTGAATTTTAGGAACTGGTCTCTTTAAAGGAGCATCAAAATTGCTTGCATACCATATGTCAATCTGTTATTTGAGTGACATCTGTCAATTGCCTATTTTCCTTTGATGACATTAGATTTAATCAATAACATGTATCTAGATATTATATATGGCAAAAATGTTCCAGAGTACAACTATTTATTGGGGAACCACTTTTATTTAAAGCAAAACATCATGGGCAAATTTGACCTTTTTCAGCTTCAAAATATCTTAATACTGAAGTTCCTAGTGTCAGACCCAAATGAACCCACCATAGCTGACTTTACAGTGACATTATTCTGTAAACGTTGTACTTAAAATCATAGGTTTCTCCTTCTTAGGTGCTGTTTCATAAACAAGGAGCAAAAAATTTAGTACTGTATTAATTAGAACTCTTTTGAATGCACATGGTAGATAAACCAAGGAAACCCAGCTCTAATAAATGTTTTCTTTCCACCACTTCCATCTGGCTTCTGCTGTGTCAGCTTCAGTTTCATCTCCACCTATAGTTAGGATGACTTCCACAGGCCCCACTTCACTATTTTCCTCTGTCTTAGAAGTCCTAACAGTCTCTTGACATCTGATTCTCTATGGTGGGATCACATGCCTATTTCTGAACCAATTCCTATGGTCCTAAGAGATTCAGAGTCTCATTGGTCAGGTCTGAATTACATGT